>NC_000003.12:129917695-130069210 GCF_000001405.40 Homo sapiens
CACCTGGGCACATGGGGTGGTCTGAAAGGCAGGGCTGTGGGGCTGCCCAGGTGAGCCCTGGTGGACAAGGAGAAGGGCTTCCCTCTGAAGCTCTCAGGGCCACCAGCTGGGTGGTGGAGCCCAGAGGTGGCTTTCCCTTGGATCCCTTTGGGAGCCTGAATGGAGGGGTGTGGGTGGGGGAGACTGGAGGCAGTGAGGCTGGTGTGGTGGTAAAGTTCAGTTGAGCCCACTCCCACGTCAGGAGCAGAGTCAGGGTTTGAAGGCTGTGGCCCAGCAAGGGGGCTCAGAACTATTCCACAGTGCCCACGGCCCTCAGAATACAGGCTCAGCTTCTGTCCTGGGACTCGAGCTCTCCCAACCTGGCCCCAGTCCTACCTTCAGACTAGCACATCACTCCAGCAAGACACCCTCGGTCATCCCTGAGCTTTTGCAGAGGCTACCCTCCTGCCCTTGTCCCTACTTACTTAGGCGACCTCTCCTCACACTGCAGGGCTCAGCACACTGGCCTCCAGAAAGCCTTGCTTCATCCCCCACCCAGCACTGACCTGCAGACCATCAGGGTTGTCGGTTAAAGGACCAAAGTCCGGACAGGAGGAAGAGGTTTTGACATCTAGCGCACAGCAGGGTGACCAGAGTCAATGAGAGTGTGTTGCATTTTGCAAAACAACTGAGAGAGTCCGTATCAAATGTCTCTCTGCATTTAGATTGGAGAGGATGAAGGCCCTGAGGTCCAAGAACATGGAAACCTGACAGTGGACGCCAACAGCTGTGGAGAGAAGCCGGGCGACAGCTGTGGAGAGAAGCCGGGCGATATGCTCACGCTTCCGTGTGCCCAGCAATCCTGCTTTATCTTTTTAAATAAAGGTGATTCCTGATAACACTACCGTTTCTTGCAAATTTTGTAGTAGCATTGGAAAGGTGGCAGATGAGTCACAGGCAATCTGCTGCTTTGCGCCCTCCCTGCACAGAATGGGGGCTGTGCACACCCTAGTTTAGGCAGTATGCAGTCATGTGATCCTCTCAGTTACTCAGAAAAACTGAAAGGAAAAGAGACCTCAGAGAAGTATCAGGATGACCCCACCCACAGAAAATCATTACCAGTGGCTCTGAAGGGCTGAGGCTCTGAGCAGGTGCAAGGCAGAGTCCCACACATTGTGCATGGCCTCCCCACACTCACACTGCCCAGTGAGCATTTTCAGAAGGACCAGCGGCCCCTTCAGGTCTCGTCTGACTGTGTTAATCATGCTGAGAGGTCTCCAGGAGGATCCTGAAGTCCTGGGAACCAGACTGTGCTGGGGTTAGAGTGGCATGGGGTCAGAGTGGCTCCCATCAGGGAGCTTCCTCATGTGTTATTAAGAAGTTTGAGGGAGGTCCAGAAGGCCCTGCCCTTGTGCATGGCCGGTGGCTCAGTGTGCACAGCCTAGAACATGCTGTGACCCTGCCCACTACTGATGGTGGCCAGGGACTGTCCTGGAGTTCCACTGGTCAAATACGATTCTCCTTCCCCAATAAAGAGCAGGACCAGGAAGCAAGAAGTGACCTGGGGAGAGGGTGGGAGTGCTGTGGGGCTCCTTGTCTCCCCAGTGTGCTGTTGTCCATAAAATCCACTTTGGGGTTAAGGGTCCCCCAGGTGTGAATACTGAAGAAAGAAGAAAGAAAAAAAGAAAGAAAGAAAGAAAGAGAGAAAGAGAGAGAGGGAGGGAGGGAAAGGAGGGAAGGAGGGAGGGACGGAGGGTGGGAGGGAGGGAGGGAAAGAAACAGAGAGAGAGAAAGAAAATAAAAGAAAGGAAAAGGAAAAAGAAGGAAAGGAAGGTAAGGAAAAGGGAAAGGGGGTAAGGAGGAAAGGCAGAAAAGAAGCTGATCTTTCTCTTTCCTTCTTTCTTTCCTTTCTTCCTCCCTCCCTCCCTTCTCTCCTTCCTTCCTTCTCTCTCTCTCTCTCTCTCTCCTTCTCTTTCTCTCTCTCCCTCTCTCTTAGAACAAGAATTCAAGGGGAGCGCCACGAAGAGAGATTTCACAGAGAAAGTGAATTTAGTATTAAACAGGTTATAATTAAGCTAAGAGGCTACAATTAGGACTCTTAGTAATGAGGGGGAATCCATATGCTTGTTATGTCAAAAATGTAAGTAAGCCAATTACATATTCTAGTACAATAGATCTGTGCTAGAAAGTCAGACCAAACATGAGACCAATTAAGATGAGGCATGACTTTAAACATATAATGGATGATAAATCTAAAAACCCATTTTCACAGGAAACAGTTTGATGCAGGGCTGGTATGGAGTCATTGTGTCCAGTTTTATGTCTTGGATCCATAGGGGGAAAGTTACGTAATCATATTAACCTAAATGCTAGTTATTTATTTTACTTTTCTTATTTATTTTACTTTTCTGAATCAGCACACAAAGCATGAAAAGCTTAATTGTATTTACAGAAAATATAAAAATAAAACCATTTAAACAAGCTAGAGTTGACAGAATTTGGACAATAGGTGGGAAAAGGCCATGTAAAGTTATCAGCGGGGTCTTCGCTCATACCAGCCTGAACGCACCCGATCTTGTCGGATACAGCTGTCAGAGGCTATGGGACTTAGGAGTGGTACGCAGATGTCATTTCCCCGTGATAGCTCCCGAAATAGAGCTGAGAAGACAGGTACAGAGTTATAAAGGTGACCTCTAAATGAAGTTTGCTACAGGAGATGAGAAACAGTTACAATGAGTGTAGCCAGGGCATGGTACAAGTGAGCTAATTGCTCAACTTTTATGAAATTACAAATCTAGAAGTAGGGGGCTTACTCACATTTAGAGTTTTGAATAACTGCCAGAAAAATTAAAAACAGAAATGATTGAAAATATTTAGTGTGTTTCAGCCAGGCGTGGTGGCTCACATCTGTAATCCTAGCATTTTGGGAGGCTGAGACGGGTGGATTGCCTAAGCTCAGGAGTTCGAGACCAGCCTGGGCAACATGGTGAAACCTCGTCTCTACTAAAATACAAATAATTAGCTGGGCGTAGCAGCATGCGCCTGTAGTCCCAGCTACTCGGGAGGCTGAGGCAGGAGAATGGCTTCAACCCATGAGGTGGTGGTTTCAGTGAGCTGAGATAGTGCCACTGCATTCCAGCCTGGACAACAGAGTGAGACCCTGTCTCAAAAAAAATAATAATAAAATAAAAATATTTAGCGTGTTTCACGGAATGGGTGCTTCATACGGGTGCTGGATGAGTCCTCCTGGGGAGGTGGTGTTGGAGCAGAGCCCTGCAGGAAGCGTGGGAGTTAGCCCCGTGGCGCGCTCTGGGAACAGTGAGGGCCACTTTCGTCCCACAGCCAAGTGCAGGGTGTGTTTCAGGTCAGCAAGGAGTGAGGTTGGTCTAGGAGGAGCCAGCGGGAGAGCAATAAGAAACAAGGTTAGGAGAGCGGCTGGGGGCCAGCTTTTGGGTTTTATTCTGCATGTGATGGAAAACAAGGGAAGCTGAGTGGGCTGGGGAGTCACAGGATGTGGCTGCTGATGGCAGAACAAGGAGAAGACGGCTGGGTGCAGTGGCTCACGCCTGTAATCCCAGCGCTCTCGGAGGCCGAGGCAGGAGGATTGCTTGAGCCAAGAGTCCAAGATCAGCCTGGGTAACATGGCAAAACCCGCCTCTACTAAAAATACAAAAAATTAGCTGGGTGTGGTGGTGCACGCCTGTAGTCCTGGCTACTCAGAAGGCTGTGAGACAGGAGGATCACTTGAGCCCTGGAGGTGGAGGCTGCAGTGAGCTGAGACAGGTTCTTTCAGATTGGCATACATGTTAAATACAGGTTAGCATCCTAAATCTGAGAAGTGTGAAATCCAAAATGTGCCAAAATTTAAAACTTTTTGAGCACCTACATAACACTCAGAGGAAATGCTCTATTTGAGCATTTGGGATTTTGTATATTTAGATTTGGGATGCTCAACTGGTAATTATATATAATACGAATATTCCAAAAAAAAAAAAATTCAAAACACTTATGGTGTCAATCATTTTATAGATAAGGGGTACTCAAACTTCATGAATAATTTCCAGCATCAGTGAGGATGTAAGCCTGTGGGGTAATACCCACTCCCCAAAACTCTTCGTGAGCATATGGATTAGCGTAATTTCTCAGAGGGAATTGGGCAGTATCTATCTAGTATAAAAATTTCATATTTCATGAATCTCCATTTCTAGTAGTTTGTTATGTAAAATACTTGCACAATTAGAGGAAATATAAGCACAGATTGTCTATATAGCAATGTTCCTCTTTTTTTTTTTTTTTTTGAGATGGAGTTTCACTCTTGTCACCCAGGCTGGAGTGCAATGGCCGGATCTTGGCTCACTGCAATCTCTGCCTCCCAGGTTCAAGCCATTCTCCTGCCTCAGCCTCCCGAGTAGCTGGGATTACATGCACCCACCACAATGCCCGGCTAATTTTTTGTATTTTTTGTAGAAATGGAGTTTCGCCATATTGGCCAGGCTGGTCTCGAACTCCTGACCTCAAGTGATCCACCCGCCTTGGCCTCCCAAAGTGCTGGGATTACAAGCGTGAGCCACTGCGCTCAGCCTGTAGCAATGTTTCTAATAGAATACAAAGTAGGGACAAACCGGCCTGGCGCAGAGGTGGAGCTTGCAGTGAGCCGAGATCGCGCCACTAAACTCCAGCCAGGGCGACAGAGCGAGACTCCATCTCAAGAAAAAAAAAAAAAGGAAAGTAGGGACAAACCAAATTTCCATCATCAGACAAATAGATACACAAATAATAGTGCACTGGATATCGTGCAGGTTTTAAACATCACAAAAGAGCTCTGCTTCTGACTTCCAGTGATACCATGCAAGTAGGTAACAGATGCTTTACATCGGGTTTTCACGTGGGAACTCTGTCTAGCTTGGTTTCCTGATTTTTCAGTGTCACTAAGTGCAGCTTTTGAAAAGCAATTCAATTTATGGCCAAATGAAACTTTAAAATGTGTCTTCTCAAAAGCCAGTTCTACTTGTTTCCTGTCAAATGTATCCGTTCACCTGCCTGCCCATCGGTCTGTCCCCCAATTAATGGATTTGAGTGCCGTCTACTGAGCTGACAATCAATTCCATAACTTCACTGTTCCCAGTTATATACTAAGTGTTCAGCAAATCATTCTTTTTTTTTTTTTTTTTGAGATGGAGTCTTGCTCTGTCGCCCAGGATAGAGTGCAGTGGTGCGATCTTGGCTCACTGCAATCTCCACCTCTCAGGTTCAAGCAATTCTCCTGCCTCAGCCTCCCAAGTAGCTGCGATTACAGGTTTACCCCACCACGCCCAGCTAATTTTTGTATTTTTAGTAGAGACAGGGTTTCGCCATGTTGGCCAGGCTGGTCTCGAACTCCTGACCTCAGGTGATCCGCCTGCCTGGGCCTCCCAAAGTGCTGGGATTAGAGGTGTGAGCCACTGCACCCCGCCAGCAAATCATTCTTGATTGTGATGATGCATTTATCTCCAATTTCCCCCCCAACCTTATTTGTTACTGTTCTCCCCAGTGCACCCACAATCCATCCATGCAGGTTTATTTACTTCCCCAAGCTTCCTGTTTTTACTCCTATTTGTACCTATTCTCCAAGACAAAAAAAGAAAAAAGAGAGAAACCTAGGATTTTAAAACTGTTTCAGCCTTCCTTCCTTCATGAAGATTTCTCCAACAGCAACTCCCATGGCTCTGTGTATACTCAGTACTTTTAAATAGTAGGTCTGTTTTAGCACTTGAGCTAAATTGTTATGTTTGTATTAATTCTTCAATTTGGAGGCATGGTCAATGCTTGCTATTCCTTAGGATTGTTTATATCAGTGTTCCTGTGTAAGACTGGCTTATAATTTTTATTATTCCTAATATTTGTTTGGTTTTGGTATTAAGATCCTAGTGTTCTCATAGAATTTATTGGAAAACAGCCCCTTATGTCAAAGTAGCCCCTTATGTCAATTTTATGGGAGTATTTCTTAAAAATTAGAATGAGTTTGGCATTTAGTCAATAATACCATTAGGGCCGTGTGTGTGTGTGTGTGTGTGTGTTTGTGTGTGTGCGTGTGTGTATGTGTGTCAGAGACACAGAGAGACAGAGGCACAGAGGCACTTCTTAACTATTGATCAAATTTATATAGTAGCTATTGAGCTACTTAGGATTTCCATTTCCTCATAAATCAATTTCTTAAAGTTATATTTTTAGGGTATTGTCTACTTGGTACACATTTTCAAATATATTGGCATCAGTTTTTCACAATATGCACTATTATCTTTTAAAATATTTTCTACCTCTATAGTTATGTCTTCCTGTTAATTTCAAATATGAGTTTTTATGATTTTTTTCTTAGTCTCATTGAAGATTTGTATATGATACTTTTCTCAAAGAACCAACTGTTAGCTCTGTTACTTCTCTCTATCATTATCTTTATTTTCTGTTTCATTCATTTACCTGTTTATCCTTCCATTTATGTTATTTGAGTTTATTCTCATTATATTTTCTAACATATGCTGGGTATTAGCTTCATTTTCATCTTTTCTGCTTTTCTAATGTAAATAAAGCTACAGATTGCTCTCGATGCTTTGTGTGGCATCTCACAATTTTTAATTTGCATACTTTTAATCATTTATTAGTATTATCTAATTTTCATTATGATTTATTAGATATTTGAGTTTAGAAAAATGCTTTTTTTTTTTTTTTTTTAAAGACAGAGTCTTGCTCTGTCACCCAGGCTGGAGTGCAGTGGTGTAATCTTGGCTCACTGCAACCTCCACTTCCCAGGTTCCAACCATCCTCCCACCTCAGCCTCCCAAGTAGCTAGGACTACAGGTGTGAACCACCACACCCAGCTAATTTTTTATAGAGACGAGGTTTCACCATGCTGCCTGGGGTGGTCTTGAACTCCTGAACTCAAAGGGGTCCGCCTGCTCAGTCTCCCAAAGTGCCAGGATTAAATGTGTGAGCCACCGCACCCAGCCAGCAGCATTAGCATCATTACTTCTTGACTCCTGATTTATTTCCTTACCCCAGGCTCCCTTCACTCTACTCCAGCCTGCTCTGCTACACACAAGAGTAGCTACTGAAAGCCAGAGCTCCTTGGGCTGATTCCTCAGGCCCTCCAAGAGCTTGGCCCCACATCCCTTCCGAGGGTCCCACAGCCCAGGTCTACATGTTTGCTTGCCACACCTGACTTCCATGTCTATCTCCTTTTTTATTATTATTATTTTTTGAGACAGAGTCTCACTCTGTCGCCCACACTGGAGCACAGTGGCACGATCTTGGCTCACTGCAACCTCCACTTCTTGGGTTCAAGTGATTCTCCTGCCTCAGCTTCCCAAGTAGCTGGGACTACAGGCGTCCACCACCACGCCCAGATAATTTTTGTATCTTTAGTAGAGATGGGGTTTCACCATGTTGGCCAGGCTGGTCTCAAACCTCTGACCTCAAATGATCTGCCGGCCTTGGCCTCCCAAAGTGCTGCGATTACAGGCATGAGCCACCACGCCTGGACAGTGTGGGTGTTTTTTGAATGGGATTAACATTTAAATCAGCAGACTTTGAGTGAAGCACATTGCCCACCACGATGTGAGTGAGCCTCACCAAATCAGTTGAAGGCTTGAGTGGCCTTAAAAGACCAGCCTATGCAACCCCTTCTCTAACAAGAGAGAATTCTCCAGCAGGTGGCCTTCAGACTTCACCTGCAACATTGGCTCCTTCTGGTTCTACAGAAGATGGCCTTTGGACTGGAAGGACACCATCAGCTCTCCTAGGTCTCCAGCCACCATAATTGCATGAACAAGTTTCTCACAATAAACCTCTTCCTCTAAATATTCATATCCTATTGATTCTGCTTCTCTAGAGAACCCTAATTCACTAGGTTTTTTTTTTAAGTTTTATATTCATTTTAGGTTTTTAAATATAGTCTTAGAATGTCCAGTCTGGGAACAGCCAAATTTCCAACTTAAAGTTTACTAGAGTACGGGTGGATCTCTTTTTCTCTGTCTCCATCATAAAGTCTCCCCTGCCCTCAATCTTTCTAAGGTAGTTTCTAACCCCTGGCATGGGGCGGGGAGGGGGCAAGGGAGGGAGGAGCTCTCAGCGAGCTGGAGATTTTTTACTTGAGTGATATGGGTCCAGGGTGGTTTTGTGCTGACCTATGTGTCAAGGTGATCCATCTTATAATCTCCCCGGCTGCTTTCATGGATTCTGGAGACATCCCCACTCCCAGCTGAGAGCCTCTCATCCTGCCTTTTGCTGTGGGGGACACACTCACCTCCCGCTGGTGGCTCTCTTCTCGGCTCCTATTTTTTCCCTTCCCACCGAGTTGGCATGAACATTGCTCCAGATCGTCCCCTGGGGCATGATCAGGCCAGCTCCTGCAGGGGCCCACATCTGATCTACAGAAAATCTTCACATGTTCTAGCTCTGATCACCTTGGAGATCATTAGGGGACTGAAGCTGCCTGCTCAACCGCCTCTCCGAGGCTCCTTTTTCTCCTGTCTTTCAGTTTGCTGAGGTGGGAGTCAGAGACAGGCCCAGCTCCTCCATCCTGCAAGGAGCCCAGATGCAGCTTTCCAATGGTCCTGCTTCAGTGCCCTCAACTGGCTCAGGTAGAGGCATCCTCAGCTCTGCCCCTCGGTGGGGTAGGGCTGGGGTGGGGAGATTGAAAGACCCGCTCTCCAAAGTCCTCCTCACTAATTCCTCTGATCTCCAACAACTAGATCATTATATAACCTCAATGCAGGTGAGATGTTTTAGGGTCTTACAAATGGCTTTTGTTGGCCAGGTGCGGTGGCTCACACCTGTAATCCCAGCACTTTGGGAAGCCAAGGCGGGCGGATCACGAGGTCAGGAGTTTAAGACCAACATGGTGAATCCCCATCTCTATTAAAAATACAAAAAAAAGAAAAAAAATTAGCCAGACGTGGTGGCACGCGCCTGTAATCTCAGCTACTTAGGAGGCTGAGGCAGGAGAATCACTTGAACCTGGAAGGCAGAGGTTGCAGTAAGCCGAGATCGCGCCATTGCACCCCAGCCTGGGTGACAGGGCGAGAGTCCGTCTAAAAATAAAACGACTGTTGTTTATTTCCTTTGAACATTTGCATCTTGGTCTGGGTGTCTTATCTATTTCACCTTGGTGACTTAGTAGTTCCAGTGTAACACCCTGTTATAAACACCAGCACATACACACACACATTTACGTGTGCAAAAAAATGGGGAACAGTTTGTGCCACTGAATTTGGCGGGGGGCTCTGTGTGTGTCTGGACAGGGAGCAGACTGGAGAGGTGGCTTGCGGGTAGAAGCTGCGGGCTCTGGACTCTCTTCTTTTGGTGCCCTCCTTTTCCCCACTCCCCCGAGCTCCCAGGCTGCTTTGCATAATGAAGAAAGAATTGGGAGGGCAATGGTAGGGGAGGGAGAACAGAAGTAAGGAGGGGAGTGCAGCATAGAAGATGGTGAAAGATGGCCTGACACTTTCAAACTATTTCCCTACCCTCGAATCCTGTTAAAATTCAACCAGGGGCCAGCTCCTCCCCTGCAGCAGATGCTGAGTCACACTATCTCATCCCTTCTGTGGGATGGGGGTTCTGCAAAGGGAGCGGACAGCTGGGTTTGTCTTGGCCACCACCGGACTCCTTCGGAGTGGGTGACTGATAGAGCTCAGATGACTGACCAGGGAGCCAGGGCTGTGATCAGGCTCTTGGGTTGGCTGGAATGACCAACCTAAATAGCCAGCACACCCCGAAGATGTCCTCCTGCCACCCACAGGGCCAATGTCCTTGCTTGCTCATTTAATGAGGGACCTGTCCTCCTTGTTTGTCTCTCTCCCCCAGCTCAAGAGTGAGACACCTGGACAGCTTGCCCTGAGGAAAACTTCAGAAAGAACTGAAGGGACACTGGTGTCTGGTATGGAAAAAGGATACCTCTGGGTAAAAGGAAGACTCTGGGTAGCTCTGGTGACCCAGCCTTGGATTCCAGCTCCCGTGGGGGAACACTTTCTCATGGTTAGGTCCCTCGAGGGAGAGATGGCCCTGGAGATGTGCGAGCAGGAGCTAGGAGATGGCCCGCCAGGACACGACAGAGGAGACTCGCAGGATGGGTGGGAAGCTCACCTAGATTAGAGTCTTCTGATGCACCTCCAGAGCCTGGTGGACTATACAGATCTGATTTGGCATTTGTGGAAAATTCAGATTCCTAGGCCAAACCTCTAGTCTTCTATTTGCTATGAGGTTAAGGTGAGACTGGGATCTGTAGTTGTAACAAGCTTCCGGGTGATGCTGGTGCAGAGTTCTAGATTGATGTCTCTGGGGGTGCAGGTTTGAGTGCCAGAGAGAAAAGAAATGTGCTTTATGCCTCATTGTGCCACTCTGGTAACTACGGCAGGACTCCACACATAGTAGGTATTCAAAGAATGCTTGTGGAAGGAAGGAAGGGAGAGAAGGAAGAATGGAGGAAGAAGAAGAAAAAAAAAGAGAGAAGAAAGGAAAAGAGGGAGGAAGGGAAGGAAGAAGTCAGGAGGGAGGAAGGGAGACCTTTGTCATTAAAACAAGAATCAGTACATTTAAGAACCGCTTCCCCTGGTGACCAAGAGTCCAAATTCTCATTTGACCAGCTTTGAATTACATAAGGAAGGAAGACCTAGTCCTTTGCTTAAAAATGTGCCCTCAGTGGTGGTTGCAAACTCAAATGTCTTCAGGGGATGGCAAATAATAGAAATGTGATAGGTATAGCGTTGCCAGGTATTGCAAATTAAAACACAGGATGCTCTTTTAAATTCAAATTTCAGATAAACAACGAATAAATTTCTAGTATAATTAGGTTACAAATACTATGTGAGACATACTTACACTGAAAATATTATTTGTTGTTTATTAAAAATTTAAATGTAATTGGGTGTCTTGTATTTATCTGACAATCCTAGCTAGGGGGTTGAGTAAAAATAAAGAAACTTGTGCCCATCCGCCACCCCCACCAAGACTTTGCTTCATGCATTTTGAGTTCTGTTGTTAGGTGCATAATATGTTAATAATTATTGTGTCTTCTTGCTGGACTGAAACTTTAATCATCATAAAATGTCCTTGTCTGTAGCAACAATTTTTGTCTTAGCCTATTTTGTCTGATATCGTATATAGCCACTCTAGCTGTATTTTAATTACTGTTTGCATAGTATATTTTTTTCATTCTTTTACTTTCAATCTATTTGAATATTTGAATCTGAAGTGTATCTCTTGTAAACAGTATATAACTGGATTAAAATCCATCTGCCTGCCGGGTGTGGTGGCTCATGCCTGTAATCCCAGCACTTTGGGAGGCTGAGGTGGGCAGATCGCTTGAGCCCAGGAGTTAGAGACCAGCCTGGGCAACATGGTGAAACCCTCATCTCTAAAAAAAAAATTATATATGAAAATTAGTGAGGCATGGTGGCACATGCCTGTAGTCCCAGCTACCTAGGAGGCTGAGGTGGGAGGATCATCTGAGCTCAGAAGTTTGAGGTTGCAGTGAGCTGTGATCACACCACTGCACTCCAGCCTGGGCAACAGAGTGAAATCCTGTCACAAAAAGAAAGAAAGAAAAAGAGAGAGATAGTTTTCCTAGAGACAGAATTTTTGATTGAGTCTTTCTTTCAGTTTCAAGTGATCCTCCTGCCTCAGCCTCCTAAACAGCTAAGACTACAGGTGTGTGCCACCATGCCTGGCTAATATTTCACTTTTTTTGTAGAGACATCATCTTGCTTTGTTGCCCAGGCTTGTCTTGAATCCCTGGCTTCAGGTGATCCTCTTGTCTCAGCCTCCTAAGGTGCTGGGATTATAGGTGTGAGGCACTGCACCAAGCCTTGGTGAGTCTTTCAGCACCTTGAACATGCCATCCCTTTGCCTTCTTGTCTCCACGGTTTCTGATGAGAAATCAGCTGTTAAGCTTATTGAGGATCCCTTGTATATGATGAGTCTTTTTCTGTCTTGCTACTTCCTACATTCATTGCCTTTGGCTTTCAATAGTTTCATTATGATGTGTCTAGGAGTGGATCTTTTGAATGTATCCTACTTGAGGACCTGTTGAGCTTCTTGATTTTGTAGATTACTGTTTTGAAAAGAAATCAAATTTAGGAAGTCTTTGGCCATCATGTCTCAAATATTCCTTCTGCCTTTTTCTCACTATCCTCTCATTTCCTCCTGAGGCCTCTATTATATGTATTTTAGTGTACTTTACGGTATCCCACAGTTATCTGAGGCTCTGTTCATTTTTTTTTCTTTCTGTTGCTCAGGCTAGATCACTGCAAATGACCAGTCTTCACATTAGCTGATTCTTTCTTCTGCCAGCTTAAATCTGCTGCTGAACCCTCCAGTGAATTGTTAACTTGTTATATATTTTTCAATTTTAAAGTTTCTATTTGTTTTTTTTCGTTTTGTTTTGTTTTGTTTTGTTTGACAGTCTTGCTCTTGTTGCCCAGGCTGGAGTGCAGTGGCATGATCTCGGGTCACTGCAATCTCCACCTCCTGGGTTCAAGCGATTCTCCTGCCTCAGCCTCCCAAGCAGCTGGGATTACAGGTACACGCCACGACACCCAGCTAAATTTTTTTTTTGTATTTTTAGTAGAGAAGGGGTTTCACCATGTTGGCCAGGATGGTCTCGATCTCCTGACCTCGTGATCTGCCCGCCTTGGCTTCCCAAAGTGCTGGGATTAGAGGCATGAGCCACCATGCCTGGCCTCTATTTGGTTCTTTACAAAAGTAATTTACATCTCTTTATTGGTATTCTCTGATTGGTGAGACACTGTTCTCACACTTTCCTTCACTTTTTTTGGCATAGTTTCCTTAATTTCTTTGAATATATTTAAAATAGCTGATTTAAATATTTTTCTATTAAGTCAAAGTTCTGGCCTTCCTCAGGAACAGTTTCTACTGCCTGTTTTTTTCCCCTGGGTATTGGTCATACTTTTCTGTTTCTTTATGTGCCTTGAAAGTTGTTAAAAATTCAAAATTTTGAATAATATAGTGTGAAAATTCTGGAAATCAGATGTCTCCCTCCCCAGGGTTTGTTGTTGTTGCTGTTCATTGTTGTTGCTGCCTCTGTTTGTTTAATGTCTTTCCTGGACTAATTCTGTAAAGTCTGTATTCTTTGCCATGTTTTACTAAAGTCTCTGCTTGGTTAACTTAGTGGTCAGCTAATGATTGGACAGTGTATTAGTCTGTTTTCACACTACTATAAAGAATATCTGAGACTGGGTAATTTTTTGAAGGAAATAAGTTTAATCGGCTTACAGTTCCATGTGGCTGGGGAGGCCTCAGGAATCTTACAGTCATAGTGGAAGGGGAAGCAGGCATGTCTTACATGGCAGCAGGCAAGAGTGTGAGCAGGAAAAATTGTCACATAAAATCAGATCTCATGAGAACTCACTATCATGAGAACAGCATGGGGTAAAACTGCCCCCATGATCTAATCACCTCCCACAAGTTCCCTCCCACGACACATGGGGATTATAGTTTGAGATGTGATTTAGGTGGGGACACAGAGCCAAACCATATCAGACAGAGATTTCTTTGAATGCTCTGGACCAGTAAGTCTACCAGCCTTTGACAAGGGACTCTGTGTGTGTTGTTAGGATATGCTTTCAACATTCCAGCATTACCACACTACCTTAGTCTTCACTTCCTGCTTGAGCAGAGCCTCAAGGTGAGCCAGCAGTGAGGGATTATGGTTTTATCAGGTATTTCCTGGGAAAGTGCACAGTCTTGTACATGTGCACAGCCGTCTAGATCCCCAAAAATATGTGGGAGTTTTTCAAAGCCCCCAATGGACATCTCATTCCTAACTTTTCTTTTAAATTTTTTGGTCAGCTTCTTGTTTGCCCCATCTGTTATCACTGCCTCTGGCAGCTACAATATTAAACAACTGCTGTTGATGGTTTTTGACAAATGTCCCCAGGGTAAAGGCTGTTCACATTGACTGAACTCTCAGGTCAAATAAAGGCAAGCTCTGAGAGTAGGGACTTCCAAGGAACTTCCAGACAGGTCAAATGATGACAACTTTCTGGGGATGGGACTTGTTAGCAAGCTCCAAACCCTTCTTTCCCCTCCAGCAGCTGCTAAGGTGCTGGTTCTCATGGCTATCATTATTGTAAGGCTGTCAGTTTTCAAGAATACTGCAGAACTAGGAGAGGGAGATGGAAATAGGACAAGTTAAAATGTCACAAATCTCACTGTTCTTACTGAGATTGTCTTGAAAAAAATGCTCCTGCATTGTTGTAAGCCTTTGATTAACTCCCGGAGTACTGAAAACATCAATTTTGACAATTTTTGCTAGTGTTCTCATTGCTCTTACGGAGGAGTGGATTTTCAGAGGTCCTGACTTGATCATTCCAGAAGTGCCCTCTCTTCTGCCAAAGACGTTGGAATTCATTTTTTTTTTTTTTTAAAGACAGGGTCTCGCTCTATCCCCCAGACTGGAGTGCAGTGGTGCCATCATGGCTCACTGCAGTCTCAAACTCCCGGGCTCAAGCAATTCTCCCATCTCAGCCTCCCAAGTAGCTGGGAACGCAGGTGTGCACAACTGCACCTGGCTAATTTTTTGAAATTCAAATTTTAAAAATGTGCAGCTCAAAGAAAAGGGTCTGTAGACTGAGATGGTCTGTGGATGATTAGACTTATGGTCTTTGGCCCCCAGAGTAAGCACTCTAAAAATATTCATTTATTTGTACTACAAGGTTCTGACACTTGGGGGAGGAAGGGGCCAATGAATGATGATTTCATAGAGTATGTTCTGAGATTTCCTGAGATGTCTGGCTGTGATTCCCTTTCTTCTCATTCCTTCTTACCTCTCAGACCACACGCCTGGCCCTTGCTCCATTGACTCTCAGCCCACGATTATTCTCAGGGACCCCAAGGCAAGCAGTGAGGGGCTACTCCCCAAGGAGAAAGGTGTTCTTGGGGAGATGCTACAAGAACCTCCTGGCAGAGTCGAGGATCCTTTCTTGGGCAATCTCTCATCATTCAATCAGCACACTAACCCACAGAGGGTGCAGATGTGAACACAAAGGAAATGCCTTCCTGATGCTACTGATTGGTCAGACGATTGGGCACATCTCCCTGATGAGTGAATGTGTGTAAATGTTTGAGTGTGTGGGCATGAATATTCATATGTGTGTGAATATGTGAGTCTATGTGAGTATATCAGTGTAAATGTCTGAGCACTTGAGTATAAGTGTGTGTATGTAAGTCAAATCTGAGTATGAGCAGGTGTGAATGTTGTGTGTATACGGGTATGGCTGAGTGGGTAAGTCAACATCTTTGCAAGCATGTGTGAATGTGCATATAAATGAGTACATGTATGACTGTGAAATATAAATAGTAAGTGAGTGAAGTGTGGGTGTGTGCATGTGTGTGTTGTGTGAATGTGTGTGAATAGCCAAGTGTCTGTGAGCGTGTGTTCATTGGATGTGAGTCAGCATGTACAAATATATCAGCCTGTGAATGTTTGAATCTGTGTGTGTAACTATGTGTGTGGATGAGTGTGAGTTCATGAGAGTGTGTAACTGTAGGTAAATGCTTGAGAGCAAATGTGTGTGAGCAGATTGAATATATATGTTTGAATTATGATTATACAAATGTGTGTATTACTGAGCATGGGTTTAAGTGTATGAGTGAACCTGTGAACATTTGAGTGTATCTGCAACTGTACGTGGGTGAGTGACTGAGTGTGAGTGTATGAACATGTGGATATAAATGTTTGAGTATTAAGGTATGAGCACATGTATGTGTGTGTGAGTTCACACATCTGAGTGTGTGGACATGTGAATGGAAATGGGGTGAATGAGTGTTTATGTGTAAGCATGTGAGTGTGTGTGAGGAGGGTCTCTGTAGCTTTAGTGGGGCAAGTGAGTGGCCCACCACAGCTGGAGAGAAAGCCCTGGTTCTCCCTGGAATGTGGGATGTGGAGGTCAGGTACCTCCAGGCAGGGAGTACTAGGTCCCCACACATGGGAAGTTCACCTGCTCAGGGCCAGCACCTGGATTGCGCCCTTGGGGTCCTTGGCCTCCTGCTCCCAGCCCACTCCTGGGGGTCAGGGCAGAGCTCCCGGGCACACGTCTCCTGGCTGGGGCCCTGTCTTTCTCTCAGAGTTGAAGAAGCCAGGAGTCTCCACCTCACCTTTGCACACACGTTTGCATCATTATAATGTCAGTGGTGCAAGTCTTACCTGGCATCATTACATTTTTTCCCACTGGCCTCACAGCAAAGGCAGGAAAGGCTGGGTGTGTTCTGGAGGTTTCTTTGAGAACTCTGCTTCCATTTGAGAAATCACCGATTAGCTGCCATGCTTTGTCCTAAGGGCTTTGCCCTCATTACTTCACCCAGTCTTCCCGACAGCCATTAGCAAGCCCCTTTCAGAGTCTGCAGGGCCTGACTTCAAATAGTGATGCTGGGTGTGATTGGCTGTGCGACCACAGAAACTGAGAGATTCCCTCTCAACTCCAGTTTACTTATCTGGCAAGGGCCGCTGGAGAGGCTGCAGGGTTCTTCTCACCTTTCAGGTCTCAACCCAAGCTTCATCTCCTCACATAATTCCCTTCCTCCCTTATTCTCCATCACATAATCCCGTTTCTTTCCCCTATAATGCAATCTGTAGTTATCTTATTATTTTATCTGTTTGTTGGTGTGTTTCTTGTTGTTTCAGCCTCCATACAACTCTGAGGCAGGCACTGAGTCTTTCCTGGTCACGGCTGAATCCACAGCACCTAACACACCGCGTGGCCCTTAGTAGGTGCTCGACAGATACCCAGTAACTATTCACCGGCGGTAAATGAACTCGTGCATGTGTCTCTTGGAATCAGCTACCCGCTGGGACCTTCCCGTTGAAAACTTGGGTTCGACATTTACTGCTTTGAGTCCTCAAATCCGCTGGTGCAAAGATTTGAGAACTGTGCTTTTCTACAATTCAACTCCAATTTTTGGTCCCGGGTCCGTAGCCCACCGTCGCAGGGCCCTGGTTATTTCTGGCTCTGCAGTGCCACCTGCAGGCCATAATTAGATCTGCAGCCTGAGGAACATTTCCCACCTCTAAGGTCTCAAACTAGGAATGAGACTGGGGAGTCTAGCCGGGCCAATGACTCCAGGTGACCAGGAATTGCTAAAGTGAAAAAGTGACCCTAGAAGGTTCTCATAGACAGCTTGGTGGTAAATGATAGGAAACCTCTCTTCTCCCACTGTTCACTTTCTCGAAGCATTAAATTCCTCCTAGGGTTCCAATCCTCAAGTTGCAGGGGTCTCAGAATCCTACCTAACTCCTCTTCCTCCCCACAAGCGTGCTTACCCTGAAGCCTTCCATCTCAGTGATTTCTCAGTCCTGAAATGCTAGAGTCATCTTTATTTATCCTATACCCTACGTTTAGTCCATCAGCAAACCCTGTCTGCTCCATCCTCCAAAGACATGCCTAGAGCCTGACCACTTCACACTACTTTCTCTGCTCTTACTCTGGTGTGAGCCAACATCATCTCTCAATTGGAAAAGATTCCTCCCTAGACATTTCTCCAAAGAAGATACACAAATGGACAACAAACACAGGAAAAGATGCTCAACATCATTAGTCATTAGGGCCATGTGAATCAGAACTGCAGTGAGATACCCTTTCACACCCATTAGCACAGCTTTTATTTAAAAAATGAAACATAACAAGTGGTGGTAAGGATGTGGAGAAATTGGAACGCTTATACATTGTTGGTAGGAAGATAAAATGGTGCAGCTGCTGTGAAAACAGTATGGTGATTTCTGAAAAAGTTAAACATAGGCTGGGTGCAGCGGCTTATGCCCGTATTCCCAGCATTTTAGGAGGCCAAGACAGGAAGGTCACTTAAGCCTATGAGTTTGAGACCAGCCTGGGCAACACGGAGAGGCCCCACCTCTATAAAAAATTGAAAAAATTAGCTGGGCATGGTGGTGCATGCCTGCAGTCTCAGCTACTCAGGAGGCTGAGGTGAGTGTATCACTTGAGCCTGTGAGGTTGAGGCTGCAGTGAGCCGTGATTGTGCCACTGTACTCCAGCCTGGGTGACAGAGTGAGACCCTGTATCTAAAAAAAAGAAAGAAAGAAAAGTTAAACATAGAATTACCATATGATCCAGGAATTCTACTTCTGGGTATATACCCAAAAGAACTGAAAGTAGAGAATCAAACACATACTTATACAACCATGTTCATATCAGTATTCACAATAGTCAAAAGTTAGATATAACCCAAATGGCTATCAACAGATGAGTGGTTCACCATGAGAACCTGATGATGAAATGCAATATATCTATGTAATGAAATACTATTCAGCCATCAGAAGGAATAAAGGAATGAGTACTGATACATCCATCAACATGGAGGAACCTTGAAAACATTGTGTTTAGTGGAATAAGCCAGATACAAAAGGCCAAATGTTGCATGATCCCACTTATATCAAACATCTTTTTTTTTTTTTTTTTTGGAGGTGGAGTTTCACTCTTGCAACCCAGGCTGGAGTGCAATGACGTGATCTTGGCTCACTGCAACCTCTGCCTCCCGGGTTCAAGTGATTCTCCTGCCTCAGCCTCCCGAGTAGCTGGGATTACAGGTGCCTGCCACCATGGCCAGCTAATCGCCCGGCTAATCTTTATATTTTTAGTAGAGACGAGGTTTCGCCATGTTGGCCAGGCTGGTCTCGAACTCGTGACCTCAAGTGATCCGCCCACCTCAGCCTCCCAAAGTGCTGGGATTACAGGCGTGAGCCACCATGCCCAGCCTATATCAAACGTCTTGAACAGGCAAATTCATCAGTACAGGAAGTAAATTACAGGTTACCAAGGACTGCAGGGGGGAAGGGAGAATGGGGCGTTATTGCTTAATGGGTTCAGAGTTTTTGTTTGGGGTGATGAAACATTATGGAAATATAGAGTAGTGATGACTATATGACATTGTGGATGTACTTAACGCCGCTGAATTGAACACTTAAAATGGCTAAAACAATACATTTTATGTTATATATGTGTCACTGGTAAAGGGTCGTGACTGCCAATTGTCCAGGTTCTTGGTGTTTTGAACAAAGAATTGAACAAAACGCCCAGCAAAGCAGAGAAAATGAAGCAACAAAAGAACAAAAGCAGGGATTTATTGAAAACGAAAGTACACTCCACAGCGTGGGAGCGGCAAGAGCAGCGGCTCAAGGGCCAGCCATACAGAATCTTCTTGGGTCAAAATACCCTCTAGAAGTTTCCCACTGGGCACTTCATGCTTACCTCATGTAAATGAAGTGGTAGCCCGTGATCAGTCAGGTGGTTTTTGCAACCAATCAGAGGCTAGGGTGAAGTTACAAAGTTATACTTCTATGCAAAAGAAGACTCAGCTGCAATCAGTCTGATTGGTTGTGGACAGCAACCATTCAGAGGCTGGAGTGAAGTTACAAAGTTGCGAAGGAAGACTCAACAGGCAATCAGTCTGATTGGTTGTGGACAGCCAATTTCCCATCTGCTGTCCAGAAAAGGCTGGGGGTTTGCAAAGGGAGTAGCCTCTGGTCGTTTTTTACTTAGGCATGGAAAGTTAGGATTTTCCTTTCAAGTTAGTTCAAGGAAGTCGGAGTGAGGCATAAGGCTGCCTGCCTTAGGTTCCCTGCCTGCAGACTCTATTCTCCTGCCTCCTATGTTTTACTGCAGTTTTTTTCTTTTTCTTTCTTTTTTTTTTTTTTTTTTTTGAGACGAGTCTTGTTCTGTCTCCAGGCTGGAGTGCAGTGGCACAATCTCGGCTCACTGCAACCTCCGCTTCCCAGGTTCAAGTGATTCTCCTGCCTCAGCCTCCCGAGTAGCTGGGACTACAGGCACATGCCACCACGCCTGGCTAATTTTTGTATTTTTAGTAGAGACGGGGTTTCACCGTGTTGGCCATGATGGTCTCGATCTCTTGACCTCGTGATCCGCCCGCCTTGGCCTCCCAATGTGCTGGGATTATAGGCATGACCCACTGCGCCTGGCCAGTTTTTTTCTTTTTAAAGCAAGGGGAAAATGCTCCTCCCTGGTCTCCCTATCTGCACTCCCCACACAGTAGCCAGAGAGGTCCTGTGAAACTCTGTCACCTCCAGCCTCTGCTCAGAACTGTGTCTCTCACTCCCTCAGAGTAAAGGCCAGGTAGCCCTCAAAGCCCCTCAACACCTGGCCCATGTGTCCTCCCAGTTTCATCTGGGCCTCACTCACCGGACGGACGCTGCCTCCTCGCTGCCCCTCTGACCGGTGAGCGCTTGTGCCCCTGCGGCCTTGCATGGCTGCTCCCTCTGCTGGGAACTTTCTCCTCCCAATATCCACACAGTCCGCCTGCTCCCCTCCTTCAGGCCTTTGCTCAATGTCCCTATTTGGTGAGGCCTTCCCTGGCCACCTATTGAAACCCGTATACTCATCTCCACCCTGGCACCCCAGCCCCTCCCCTGCTTGATTTTTCTCTGGCTGCCCTCAGCTACGTGCGTATTTTAGTTATTTATCTGCTTATTGTCTTGTCTCCTTTCACGTAATTTGAGCTTTAGGAAGGCAGGGATCATTGTCCCTGTCCAGTTCACTGGCACATAGTAGACACTCGACAGTGATTTGTTGAATGAATGAATGTATGAATGAATGCCTACAGTTGGGAGTGGGCAGGCTGTGAGACAACAGAGAGTACGGGGACTGGGGATTACTGGGAGCTCAAGTCCCGGCTAATGCTCTCCAGCTGGTTTTTGTCTCGTGGGAAAGCATGTCATTACTGCCCAATTGACTATTTAAGAGAAGCCAGAAATCTGGATTTTTAGTGAAATTCTCCAATGTTTCAAGCACTGAGAACTAGTGTAGGTTTATAAAACATCTTGAGGACCAAATGATACCTATCTGTGTGCCAAGTTTGGCCCATGGACACCTGGTGGTGGCAAATGGTGGTGGCAAACGGTGGGTGCAGGGTGTTCAGATTTTTCTCCCCATCCCTGCCTCCTCTCCTGGGCTTCAGACCATCCATCTAACCAGCTGCCTCCTGAGCACCTCCACCTGGGTGGCCTCCCAGACTTTCAGAATCAACAGGTTCCACCCTGAATTCATCCTCCCTTACTGTCAACCAGAATCTCCGAGCTCCTCATCTCAGTGACACCCCCAGCCCTCTTCTCTCACTCACCCCCACATCTTGTCTCCTAAATCAATATTTCCCAGCCTGCCCCTGCTGCCTGCCCTGTTCCCAAGGCCCTTGCCCAGGCTCAGGCCATCATCTCACTGGGTGCCTGTTCTCATCGTCTCTTCACTGAGTTGGCGGCTTCACTTTAAGGTATAACTGGGGGAGTGGGTGGAGCACTCCACAATCTGGTCAGCTCAGGTCCTGCAGAGGTCTTGATCCGGCCTTGGGGTAGAGGGATTATACACACACACACACACACACACACACACACACACACGTATATACATATACATATACAAAAACATATATATCAAATATGTATATATAAGTCAAAGTGTAAAAATCTGAAGTGTATAGCATCTACCCTCCTGTGCCACCCACATCAGGGTTTTTAAATAGCATCTACCCTCCTGCACCAAGAAGTAGAACACTTCCAGTTTCCCAGCAGGCTCCCTCATGCCCCTTCTCGGTGAGCACTGTCCTTCCGCTCCCCCAACACGGTTCTGACCTTTATTACTGCAAACCAATGAAACCCCTCCTAGAATTTCACATGAATAGGATCGTCCAGTTAGTAGAATTTTATGTCTGGACTCTTTTTTTTTTTTTTTTTTTTTTTGCTCAGTATAATGATTCTGAGATTCATCTATGCTGTGGTGTGCACAGGTAGTTTGTTCTTTTTATTGTATGGATGCGCCATTGTGTAAATTGATCACAATTTGTTTATTCAGACACCCATTGATGGCTATTGGGCTGTTTCTGGCTTTTGGCAATTATGAGGATGTCTGCATGAACTTCCCTGTGGCAGCCTTTTGTGGACATAAGTCTGCCTAGAAGCAGAATTTCTGGGTCCTACCTTAAGTGCATGTCTGCCCTTCATGTAAAATGACGAGGAAAAGTGGCTATAGCTTGTACTTTGCATTCCCTCCATCAGGGAATGAGAGTTCCAGTTGCTCCACAGTCTTGCCAATACTTGACATTGTTGGTCTTTGATTTCACCAGTGCTTTATCTGGAGAGTCCAGGCATGGTCATGGTTGAAGTCTCTGCTCTCAGCTCCCGCCTCAGTCTTCCTTCAGCCAGTCTGACCTGATGACCTCTTGCTTTCCTGCTCCTAGAAATGCCCCTGTGCTTTAGGCAGCCCCTCCAGCTGTTTCTCTTCCCATGGGGCAAGGAATTTGCAGGACCCAGGGGACACCCCTTCTTGGACCACACCCCATCCCCTTCTAGACCAGGCCATGAGTATTCAGTACCTGAAGATTCTCTGTTCCCATGTCCCAGTGTCCTGAAGCCCATTTCCAGGGCCTGTGTGGGCCTCTTTCCCAGCCCACGCTCCTAAGGGCAGACCATCCTCTCGAGATGGGAGAGCAGCAGGACTTGTTTTCCAAGCCTCAGTTACAGACCTGCTAATCAAGGCAGGATATAGCAAAGAAACTGGTGCAAACCAGCTAGGACCAGGATGGTGATGAAAGCAACCTCTAGTTGCCCTCATTAGTCATTATATGCTAATTATAATACATTTGCATAAGATACTCCCACCAGCCCCATGACAGTTTTCAAATGCATGGCAACACCCAGGAAGTTACCTTATATGATTCCTGGAACTCCTCACCCATTTTCCAGAAAGTTCATGAATAACCTACCCTTTATTTAGCGTATAATTAAGAGAGGGTCTAAAAAGAGCTAGGCAGCAATGCACGAGTGCTACTCTGGGCCCCTCTGCCTGTGGCAGAGCTCTGCTCTGTCTATAGGGCAGCGTTTTGCTGTACACTGCTGCTCTAATAAACTTGCTTTCTTTCACTGATGCTGGCTCTTGAATTCTTTCCTGAGTGAAGCCAAGAACCTACCAAGGCTAAGCCCTAACTTTGGGGTTCACCTGCATCACTCTGGCGTGTGTACTACTAAATCTGAAGGTTGGCCAAGGACAGCTGCAGGTTGGGGTGTTCATCTGCAAGTGTGTGAAGACCTTAGCTGTAGAGGATGAAGCCTGGGGTCAGGAAGAGAAAGCGGGTGGGCTGCAAGCTGGGGCGACTTTCCCCACACTCTCACATGTGAAACTTCCGAGAGTCTAGTAATCCCAGATTTCTACCTAGCTTCCAGGCTATTATGCACCTTGGACTTCTATAACAAAGTGCCACACACTGAGTGCCTGAAGCAGCAAAATGTATTCTCTTCACCTGGGATCAGAAGCTCAAAATCGAGGTGTCAGCAGAGTCGGTTCTTTCCAAGGGATGTGAGGGAAGGATCTGTTCCACCAAACACCCATGAGTCCAGCAAACCACCAGGAGCAAGGAGAGACCAGGTGTTCAGTCCTACAGTGTCACCTGCGGGCCTTGTGACCAAACGGCCTCATTGTCCTCTCTGGGTCTCAGTTTGTCTGCAAAATGGGAAACTTAGCTCAAGATAAAAAAAACGGATTGTTGTCTTCCTGTCAAATTTCCTCCATATGTGTTTTGTTTGTTTGTTTGAGACAGGATCTTACTCTGTCACCTAGGGTGGAGTGCAGTGGTGCGATCTTGGCTCACTGCAACCTCCGCCTCCCAGGCTCAAACGATTCTTGTGCCTCCATCTCCTAAGTAGCTGGGATTACAGGCATGCTCCACCACACCCAGCTAATTTTTTCTATTTTTAGTAGTGATGGGGTTTTACCATGTTGGTCAGGCTGGTCTCAAACTCCTCGACTCAAGTTGATCTGCTCACCTCGGCCTCCCAAAGTGCTGAGATTATAGGCGTGAGCCACCATGCCCAGCCCCCAGATATGTTTTGTTTGACCTACATAGTGATGTATAAACTTTGAATTGGTTGCCAACCTGTAAAAATCAAGAAATTTCATCTAAAACCCAAATTTCTGGCCTCTTTTGAGAAATGAGCCCTTTTTCTCTTATGGCTGCGATTGGCTGGGTAAAGTTGTGGCAGCCCCTTTTACAGGGCTCCAAAGGCCTGTCTTAAAAAATCGAAGCTTTGGCTGGGCACAGTGGCTCATGCCTATAATCACAGCACTTTGGGAGGCTGAGGCAGGCGGATCACCTGAGATCAGGAGTTCAAGACCAGCCTGACCAACATGGTGAAACCCCGTCTCTACCAAAGACACAAAAATTAACCAGGTGTGGTGGCGGACGCCTGTAATCCCAGCTACTTGGGGCGCTGAGGCAGGAGAACTGCTTGAACCCAGGAGGCAGAGGTTGCAGTGAGCCGAGATTGTGCCACTGCACTTCAGCCTGGGAGACAGAGGGAGAATACATCCCCCCCACAAAAAAAAAAAATCTAAGCTTCAAGTCGGATGGAGTGGCATGCTCCTGTAGTCCCAGGTACTCAGGAGGCTGAAATGGAAGGATTGCTTGAGCCCAGGAAGGCGAGGCTGCAGCGAGCTATGATTGCACCACTGCACTCCAGCCTTGGCGACAGAGACAAGACTGTCTCAAAAAACAAATAAACAAACAAACAAAACCCCACTAAGTGTTGATGAAAAGGATTCCAAGAGGTAGGGGATAGATTGCCAGACAAAGCAAGTAAAAATACAGAACTCTCAGTGTGGCAGCTCTCGGTGGGGACTTGAGGAGCTGGGTTTCAGGGAGGGCCGCACAGTTCAGTGCAATTCCGAATTGTACCACCATGGGGAAGCAGAGCCACAAAGTTGACCTGAGTGGTCCGGTTGGGTTCCTCTGCCAGGACCTCGGGGGCCAGGAGTGCCCGGGGCTGCCTGGAACTGAGGAGTGGTGGGAAGCTGAAAGGAGATGGAGGAGGGAGGAGCTGGGGACTGTGCCTGACCCAGTGTCCAACAGCTGAGGGAGGCCAGAGGAGGGAAAGGTCCTAGTGGGTGCAATCAGGGCAGGCTTCAAGAAAAGGACAGGCCTTAAAGACTGGCAAGATTTGGATAGAAACGGGAGGGCCCTCTGGGAGGGAGGCATGGCTTGAGCAAAGGTTTGCAGAAGGAATGAGCTTCATGGGAAGTGTGTCCTTGCCTGAGGCAGGGTGACAGTGTCTGAAATTCTGAAACACGTCTCAAGACATTGTTTTAGTCATGATCAAGTAACAGAAACCCACCTCAAATTGAGTTAAGAAAAAAAGAGGGCCCGGTGCAGTGGCCCGTGCCTGTAAACCTTACATTTTGAGAGGCCGAAGCAAGAGGATCACTTGAGCTCAGGAGTTTGAGGTCAGCCTGGGCAATAAGGTGACACCTTATCTGTACAACACTTTTAAAAAAAAATTAACTGGGTGTGGTGGCATGCACCTGTAATTCCAGCTACTCGGGAGGCTGAGAGCGGGGGATTGCTTGAGCCTGGGAGTTCAAGGCTGCAGTGAGCTGTGATCACACCACTGCACTCCAGACTGGGCAGCAGAGTGAGGCCCTAACAGTTAAAACAATAAAGAAAAAAAAGAAAAAATGAAAAGTTATTCCCTCATGTAACTAAAAAGTCCATCAAATGATGTCATCATGCATCTGCCTCTCTTTATCTCTCAGCTCTGCCTCTCTCTGTAGTGATTCTGTTCCAGGCCACCTTCCTTCTCCCAGTGGCAATGTGGCTGCCCACAGCTCCAGGCAGACTCCCTAAAACAACTTAGCCACCACCAGCAAGAGACGACCTCATTCACAGTGACTCCACAGACATCCTGGGGATCACTGATTGGCCTAGACTGTGTCATATGCCTATCCAGAAGCTAGTTGCTGCAACTCTCATGGATATGGTCTCAGTCACAGGCCACCTCTGGTATGCAGATAGATCTGTCCACTCAATGCCCCTGGACTGATATTGGGGTTGGGGGTGGTCTCCAAAGGAAAGGCAGGGTGGTCTCAGAAGATGGGACAGTGAGTGCTGGGCAGACAAAAAGAAGAGCGGTCCCAACCAGGTTTTCACCCGAGGAATGATGAGTCAGTAACTGTGGAGCAGGGCGGAGTGGGGCATGGAGTTTATTCTAGCTGTCTGTCTGTTCATTTGTTTGTTTAGCTTTTATTTATTTGTTTTTAATTTTTAATTAATTAATTTTGAGACAGAGTCTCACTCTGTCGCCCAGGCTGGAGTGTAGCGGTGCGATCGCAGCTCACTGCAATCTCCGCCTTCCAGGCTCAAGGGATCCTCCCGCCTTAGCCTCCTGAATAGCTGGGACCACAGGCGCACATCACCATGCCCAGCTAATTTTTGGATTTTTAGTAGAGATGGGGTTTTACCGTGTTGGCCAGGCTGGTCTCAAACTCCTGGGCTCAAGAGATCTGCCTACCTTGGCCTCCCAAAGTGCTGGGATTACAGGCATAAACCACCATGTCCGGCCAGTTGGTTTAGCTTTTAAATGTGAATGTGTGTGAGTGTGTGTGTGTGTGTATGTGTGTGAGTATGTCTGGGTGAATGTGTGTGTGAATGTGTGTGTGAATGTGTGTGTCTTCCAGTGTGCCTTGCCTCGATGGCTGCAGCCTGAACTCACTTAAAAAGTAATTCATGGCAGCTACCAGGTACCAGGAACAGTGCTGGAAGCCGAGAGCACTGCAATGAGCAAAAAAGATAAAGTCCTTGCCTTCCTGAATTTACATTCTGGCGGGAGAGACGGATAAAAACAGAGACCATTAAATACACAATGTGTTAGGTAACAACTAAGAGAAGGTTGGTCGGTATGTGCACAGGTGTGTGTATGTGTGCGTGCCCATATACCCATGTGTGTCGTGTGTGTGCATGCATGCATATGTGATGTCCTGTGCAGGATGGCCAGGAGGAGGAACATTTAAGCAGGGGTCCAAAAGAGGTGGGTAGTGAGCCAAGCAAAGATCTGGGCCCAGCAGTCCAGGTGGAAGGAACAGCAAGTACGAAGGCCCTGAGGCAGGAATGGGCATGGTGTTTTCAGGTATCAACAAAAGTCCTCTGACACTGAGCTAAGGGGAGAGTGGCGGGAGGGAGGACAGAGGAGTACAGGAGGCAGGTGGTGGTGCAGGGCCTTGCGGGCCACTGTAGGGACTTTGGCTTTTACTCTCCCCAAAACAGGGAGCCCTAGGATGGTTCTGAGAAGTGAAGGGACGTGATCTGACTTCGGTTTTGAGAAAACTGCCTGGCAGCTGTGTAGAAAGTAGATCACAGGGGCCAGGGCACAAGCAGGGCGGCTGGAGTGGAGGCTGCTGCAGTTGTCTGGGTGAGCGGTGAAGGCGGCTGGACCAGGGTGGCTGCTCTGGAGGTGCACGGGTGGGTGGAACTCCAAATGTATTTTGCAGGATGAGCCAATACAATTTGCTGATGGTTGGGGGTGGGGCATGATAAAAAGAGAGGAATCAAGAATGATCCAAAAGTTTTTTTGCCTGAGCAACTGTTAGGTTAGAGTTGCCTTTTCCAGAGACAGAAAGATTACAACAGAAGCAGTCGGCAAATATTTGAGAACATACTATGTGCCGAGGTTACACCTAGAAGCATGGCAACCTTGTCTTGGAGCTTGGCAAGAGAGACAGACAAGAACCACTGAACAAGTAGGTAGAGGAGAAAATACCAGCTGGTAAGAAGGGCCACTTAGAGCAACAGAACAGGGTGATGGGAGTCTGCATTTTATTCAAAGAGCAGCCAGGAACTGTGGGAGGGTTTGCAGCAGAGACAGAATCTGCTGTACCCTTTAGAAGACCACTCTGGAATAGACTGTTGGGGGCAAGATGAGACAGGGAGACCCGTGGGGAAGCTGGTGAGGAGGCTGCCGAGGCCTGAAGGTGGGAGATAGTGGCACTGCCGTCAAAGACCTCTAGCAGACGAACAGGGGTAGGAAACCGACTCCTGTTCTCTGTGAGAGGCATTTTAGGAGCATAGTGGCATCACTGTCCCCCTTCCAGGGGCTTGGACAGGTGCCTTTGCCCCGGGAGTCTCAACTCCCCAGTCTCTGCCACTTCCTCGGTGACTGTCGCATCCTCACGGATCCCTTCATCACCTTTTTGTTTCCCTATAATCAACTCCATCTCTGGATTTTCTTCATTTCCTCAGAGCTGCTCCACTATGGCTCATATCCTGTTGTTCCAGAACCCTTGCCCACCAGTACGCCCTCCTCTCTGGTGATGCCTTTCCAAAGCTTCTCCTGGGGTTGCAGGGTGGGGCTCCCACCCTTACTATACCCTGCAGCCCCATTTCTGCTTTTCACCTCTCCATCTGCAAAAACACTCCTGGCCATCTCAACACTTCTTTCTAAGTATCAGTGTTAAATCACAACCAAGTGTGTGCTCAGCACTTTACAGTTAGCACCATTCACCCTCCCATTTCACAGCCCGGGAAGGTGGGCCCTTGAGGGGAAAGAACCAGCTGTGGCAGACACCTGGCTTTATCACTTCCTAACTCTGACTCTGGGCCAGTCCTTTTGTTACCAACAAAGCCTGTCCCCCAGAAGATGGAGCCTTTTCCTGTTCTGTGCTGTGAAGCCAATACACGAACCCAAAAGTAAGCATGAAACAGTGCATGCTTTATTCGACGGCCTTTATTGAGAAGTGGGAGTTTGGCTCACAAATCAACTTCTCAGCTCCTGAGAGCTGGGAAACCATAGATACAGGCTTCATCTTTAATGAAAAAGTTGGGCATTAAAAGCAAGGGGAGGAATATCCATGTCTTTTCTGGAAATGGGAGAACTCCTTGGAACCAGAGTTACTACCTTCCTTTTTGTCCCTTTATGGTTTCTTCTGGCCATTGTCATGGCAATGTCAACTGTCATGACACTGATGGGAGTGTCATTTAGCAAGGAAATTATATTATAATGAAGTTAGAGGTTCTTTGGAGGTCAAGTGAGCTGCCGTCTTGCATCTCACCAGTTTCAGCCAGTTTGGTCACAAAGGTGAACTTCTGGCCTTGGCATCCTGTTTTTTAAAGATAAGCAGAGTTAAGGCAGGGCAGAAATTCAGCTAGATCATGTAGGCATTACACTGGTTAACACCATTTGGTGCCTCAGTTTCCTCAGACGTAAAATAGGCATCACAATCATTGTGGCACATGTGAAGGGCCAGTGCAGCCCACAGCACTTGGAGGTTGCTCAGTAAGTAAGAATTCCCTTCCCTACAGTTGGTTACCTGGGCAGGAGTTGCAACTCATAGTTGCAACCAGCCAAGGACTTGTTTTATTTGGCTCACATTGTGGCTTCTCTAATCTGAATTTGGATGTTTTTAGAAGCGGCACACATTTCCAGGAGGACAGGGACCCCACCACCCCTCATATTTCAAAAAATACCAGATAGCTCCCACATATCTGTTCACTGCTTAGCCCTAAAAGCATTTGTGGCAGATTGTATTTTCCAAGGTGGCCACAACTACATCTCCCATTCCACATACTCTTCATGCAATGTGACACTGATAGCCCTCCCATCGAGAGGTGGGGTCTATGTTTTCTCCTCAAGAATCAGATATGTGAGTACAGCACAAAGAATGCTATGTGGCTTCCAAGGCTAGGTCATGTAAGGCAACACAGTTTCTACCTGGTTCTGTCGGGACACTTGCTCTTGGAACCTAGCTGCCATGCTGTGAGGAAGCTCAAGCTACATGGAGAGGCCAGGTGTAGATTTTCAGCCAACACCTTCGGCTGATGTTTCAAATAGCCAGCAGCAACCACCAGGTATGTGAGTAAGGAAGCCTTTAAAATAACTCAAGCTCTTGGATTGCGGCTACATAAAAATACCTCCAAGCAAGATCCACGTTACCATACCCAGTCAACCCCCAGGAGACTATAATGACTGCTGTTGCTTTTAGCCAGTAAATTGCAGGGTTATTTGTTACTCAGCAATACACTCCTTTACTATGGCCAAAAAAGGGCAGAGTTAGAAATTGAATCCAGGACTGTCCATTTCCAGGACTTTCCAGAACTCACATAATCCACTTATCTGGCAGTTGTTGTATCTACCGTTTCATTTAGGGAAACAGACAGTGAAGAGAAATGGCTAAAATAAAAGAACTTTTGAAGAGGAAGGAACTCAGCTAACCACAGCAACATGGAGTCTCATGTTCCATGAAGAACACGTATAAGCCCCTGCTGTGTATTCCAGTGGGCTGCTGGACACCCATGGAGTTGTGAAAGTAAACCAAGGACATAAGTATTGTGATTCTGATTATATCCCTAGCCACAGTGGGACCTTGTATCCAGTAGTGCTCAATGCATGCTTACTATTCAGGGTGAAGACAACATTTGAGCTAGAATCAAGAAGTCTTTTCCACAGCAATAAACAATGTAGTGACAAGTGCAGTGACGAAAAATAAAGCTAGGTAAGAGGATAGTGAGTGATAGGAACTGCTGTTTTAGTGTGGGTGGCCAACGGAGGCCTCTCTAAGGCGGTGAAATCTGAGCTGAGGCTGGACGGAGGGAGCGAGCCATGGAGCTCTCTAGGGAGTATCTGGATGGAGGGAATAGCAGGTGCAATGGTGCCAAGGTGGGACTGGGAGGCCGGATGCTGGTGAGGAGCAAGTGTGGATGACAGCAGAGGAGACAAGGTCAGACCAATGGGGGTGGACTGGGTGGGCCTGCCTTTTAGTCTGGGTAAGATGGGGAGCTGCTAAAGGCAGGTGGAGGAAGAGGGTAGCCTAAGCTTCCAAACGGCCACTGTGGACATCACCAGGAATCCCTGACTCTGCCACTCAACGCTTCCTTTCTCCCTGTGGTATGGAGGCCACTAGCTTCTTCTTCTTCTTTTTTTTTTTTTTTTTGAGACGGAGTCTCTCTCTGTTGCCCAGGCTGGAGTGCAGTGGCACGATCTCGGCTCAGTGCAAGCTCTGCCTCCTGGGTTCACGCCATTCTCCTGCCTCTGCCTCCTGAGTAGCTGGGACTACAGGCGCCCACCACCACGCCCGGCTAATTTTTTGTATTTTTAGTAGAGACGGGGTTTCACCGTGTTAGCCAGGATGGTCTCAATCTCCTGACTTCGTGATCCACCCGCTTCGGCCTCCCAAAGTGCTGGGATTACAGGCGTGAGCCACCATGCCCGGCCAAGGCCACTAGCTTCTCCAGGCACACTGCTGGCCACTCTGCAACCTCAAAAGGAGGGAAGAAACTTGTTTCCAGCAGGTCCAACAGTAGTCCTAAGATTGGAGCCCGTTGGAAGCTCTCCTAGCTTCTGGTGGTGGCTGGCAGTCCTTGGCATTCCTTGCCCTGTAGATGAATCTCTCCAGTCTCTGTCTATATTGTCACATGGTCATCTCTCTGTGTCTTTTCTCCTCTTCTTATGAGGACACCAGTCATACTGGAATGAGAGTATACCTACTCAGGTATGACCTCATCTTAACATACAACTGCAATGACCCTAATAAGGTAACTTTCTGAGATATGAGGAGTTAGGACTTTGACATATCTTCTGTTGGGGGGACACAGTTCAACCTGTAACAGGTTTCTTGGGGCCATGGTCCAGTTGTTTGTACTCACACTTCAGACAGCCATTGCCCAAGAATTGTCCCCTGTGGGAAGACATTTGGGGTAAGGTGGCACCCATATGCCAAGGACAGGTCTCAGGAGAAGGGGGCAGCTATGCTCTTCAGCAGCCAACACTCACAGCAGCTGGGGAATGGGTGTGTCAGCAAGTAAAGGGGATATGGGCCCAGCACCCATTGGATCTAGATGGGCAAATTGTTTAACCTCTCTATGCCTCAGTTTCTTCAGGTGGAAAATAGTTGTAGAGTGGCTGCCTCAGGGATAGGTTAGGATGGAAATAATTCATATTCTTAGAACAGTGCCTGACACATGGTAAGCCCTTGGAAATGTTAGCTATTATTAATGACAATTTGGGCCATGGTGGGTGTGAGAGGCCCTCTGGGAAGTAGCAGGATTCATTCTCAGCTCATGGTCTGGCCTCTGCTCATCCTTCCTGACTGACTCCAAAACATCCCCGAGAAGTGTTAATTCACTACAAACAAAAACACGAGACAAGCCCTTCAAGACCATCGAACGCAGTCCTCCATGACTATTTCACAGATGGGAAAACTGAGGACAAGCAATGAATTTCTCAAGTAATAAATGACAGGCAATATGGTGGTGGTTAAGTGAAAGACTTTGGACTCAGACAGACTTGGGGGCTTGAATCCCAGCTGAGTGACCTTGGGCCAGTACCTCTGCCTCTCTGGGACTCAGTTTCCTTGTGTATAAAATGGGTCATGATCGTACCTATGGTTGAACATTCCGTGATGCTCTCTAAATGTTCATTCTGTATTAGCTCCTGTGTCATACCGATGTTATTGTGAAGCATGGGCACATATGTGGCCATTCTGGAGGGAAGGGGACATTTTCAGCTCCCAGGACACCCTGGCCTGAGAGGTTTTGGCTCCAGGTCCCTCACCCTGGCTCTAGTCCTGCTGTGCTGTCTCCCATCTCAGCAGAGGCCCCTGTCTGGCCCAGGCTGTGGTCCTCCCAGGAAATCGATATCCTGAGGCTGACACCCACCTCCCCAGCACCTTTGAGCTGCTTAATTGTATGGATGTGGTGCTGCTGCCATGGCCTCGTTTTCATCAGAGCTGTGTGGGCCACAGCCGTGCTTGGTTGAGAGGTACATTCATTATAGAGTCAGCTTTTATTGGGACTTCTAGAGGGCCTGGGGATGAGGAGTGAAGCAAGCAGGCACGCTTCCTCCCCAGGGTGCAGCCAGGCGTCTAGTCCAGGCTGCTGATAATAACAGCCAACATTCACTTAGGGCTTACTGTGTGCCAAACGCCATCCTAAAGGCATTACAAATATTAACTCACAGCAGCCCTGTGAAGTTAGTATTATGGTTATTATCCTCATCCCCATTTTACAGGTGGGACAACCGAGGCTCTGAGGAGTGAAGTGACTTGGTCAAGGTCACTCAGATAACAAGTGCAGCCAAGGGCTCTAGAGCCTGGGTGTTCAACCCCTGCCCTGTGCTGCCTCAGTGTTGGTGGTGTTGAAAAGTGTGATGTCAACAATAACATAGCAGCTTCCATTTACTATGAGTTAGCAGGAGTCAGGCATAGCACCATGTACCTCTACGTACAAACTTTATTCCACCCCAGCTCTGAGATAAGGGTGAACAGCCCCATTTTATAAATGAGCCATGTGGGCAGTTGGTGGGGGAGGGTGAAGGCACTTGCTCAAGGCCACACAGCTCATTGAGGAAACAGCTGTTTTGTTTTTTACTCCAGGCAGGTCCTGCTCAAAGCCTAGGCTCTTAACCGACTTCCTCTGCTGCCTCACATTCTCTTTCTGTTTGACTTCTTCGAGAGGTCACTGCCCATCTCTGGGCTTCAGTGCACCTTTTTTTTTAATGTAGAGATTTGCTCTATTTTATAATTTTAATTTTTAAGAGAGATGAGAGTTTCACTATATTGCCCAGGCTGATCTTGAACTCCTGGGCTCAAGTGATCCTCCTGTCTCGGCCTCCCAGAGTGTTGGGATTACAGGCGTGAGCCACTGTGCCCGGCCCCTCAGTGCACTTTTCATCCACCAGTGTGTCTTTCTGAATTCCTAAGTGCCTAGACTGGAGTTGAGGGCTGGGGCAGGTACAAAGGAGGGAGGGGAGGCCGGGGTCTCTGCCCTCGGGTTGTCAGATGCCTGCCTCCATCCCCAAGGCGGCATTTCTCCCAGTGCCTCTTACTGGTGGGGCACAAGCCACCTGCAGCATGATGCCTGGAGTGCTTGTTAGTAAGGCCGGTGCCAGCCCTAGAAATTCTGATTCAGGAGGCCTAGGTTGGGGCCTAGGAACCTGCATTTAAAGAAGCATGCCAGGGGATGCTGATACACAGCCTCCACAGGCCCCATGGATTCAGATTCTGCCCGACTCTCCTCTTAATTAAAAAGTCTTACAAAGAGAATACAAAGAATCAAGAAGGTGATTTTCGTCATTTAACAAACTAATTCAAAATTAAACAAGTTTTAAAAATTATGAAGATAACATGTGTTCATGTTAAAACATTCAAACAGTATAGGAGGATGAAGTAGTAACTTTTGGTTTTTCTCCCTCCCACTGTCTCCTGGAACTGTCCAAAGAAAACCACTTGCCAAATGCTCATTGATCACCCCCTTGGAGCCTGGGACAGCAGGGGACTAGACAGATGCAGTCCCTCGCCCCGACCATGGCAGTTGATGTGTATGGAGTGCTTACTGTGGCCAGGCCCATCCTACCTACTTCCCCATGCTTACAGTGGTGTCACAGGCGGTCCTACGATTTTTCTCCTTTTATAGACGAGAATGGAGTTTATTATCGAAATCATGATTTTCCAAAGTTGTCCCAGTTCAACCTGCATCAGAAACACTTGAGCCTGCCATGCAGAATGCAGATTCCTGGGCTTCAACCTGCCAATTTCCTAGAGCGGAGGTAGGAGGCTGCATTTTTATGCACATGCCCCATTTCTACCTACACATTTTCTGACCCCCATTAATTTTTTTTTTTTTTTTTTTTGAGACAGAGTCTCACTCTCTCGCCCAGGCTGGAGTGCAGTGGCGCGTTTCGGCTCACTGCAACCTCCATCTCCCCAGTTCAAGCGATTCTCATGCCTCAGCCTCCTGAGTAGCTGGGATTATCGGCGTGCACCACCATACCCTGCTAATTTTTGTATTTTTAGTAGAGACAGAGTTTCGCCATGTTGGCCAAGCTGGTCTCAAACCCCTGACCTCAAGTGATCCACCCTCCTCAGCCTCCCGAAGTGCTGGGATTACAGGCATAAGCCGCCACACCTGGCCTCCCACTAAATTTTGAGAACCACTGCCCAAGCTGTGGTGGGAGGTAGAAGAATGAAGGGACTATGGAAATGGTGGGACTTCAAAGGGGCTGAAGCCTTCATGAGGAGGAGAGTCAGGGCAAAGCACAGAGCTAGGATGGCGCTTTGTTGGATTTCTTGCCAGTGGTGTAGCTGAGCCCCAGTACATGCCTAACCTAGTTCGTGTCTGCCCCCTCCCAAGGCTGCTAGCCCCTGAAGCCTCTCTTCTTCCCAAGACATGCAATTCTCCCAGCCCCCAGCCTCCAGGCGATCCCAGCTGCTTCTGTTATATCTTATTAGTCAAGTGGAACATTAATTAAATGTGAGAATAATAGACCCAGAGTCCAAAAATATTGTAAAGCCCAAGGAAGAAAAGAAGTCCTTTCAAAGGGCCCTGCAGTAGCCGGAATTCTTCATTATGTCACAATAAGGAAGGCTGTTACCCTGAGATTCCCACTCTGCCAGGTGACTCAAGGCAGCAGGCCTTGGGATGTGTGGCAGGGTGACATGGGGGTGGGGAGCCCAGGGAGCCAGGAGCAACCTGGGTCACGTGGACTACCAGCAGACTCCGTAAGGAGGGCCACAAGGGCCCTCTGGGAAAATGGGACCCTCTGGGAAAAGAAGAAAGTTCAAACCACCCCTCTCCACTCCATCCTCACCCTCCTGACTTTTTCCCCTGGTGAACTCCTATTCATTCTTCAAGGCCCAACACAAAAGCCCCCATCTCTGAGAAGCAGAGTTAATCCTTGCATTCCCTGAGCTGTGGCAGAACTGTGAACTGCTCTGAATTCAGCTTCTGGGTCACATAGTTATTTCAGGCCATTATTCCCATGTCTGTCCCCCCTCAGCCCCCGCAACCAGACTAACCCAGACTAAATTAACTTTTCCCACCTCAGGGTCCTCAGGACAAGGCCTGGCCCTGAGCAGGTGTTGGTGAACATTTGTCAGAAGAACCAATTATTTTTGTTAATACAAACCCTGGTGCTGGCCAGCTCTGGTTTCAAACTTTTTTCTTTCTTTCGTTTCCTTTGCTTTGCTTTCCTTTCTTTTTCTTTCTGTCCCTCCCTCTCTTCCTTCCTTCCTTTTTCTTTCCCTCCTTCCCTCCCTCCCTCCCTTCTTTTTCTTTCTTTCTTTCTTTCTTTCTTTCTTTCTTTCTTTCTTTCTTTCTTTCTTTCTTTCTATTTTGCTATGTTGCACAAGCTAGTCTTGAACTCATGGGCTGAAACAATCCTCCTATCTCAGGCTGGGATTACAGGCACACGCCACGACACCTGCCTCAAACTCCTTCTTTCAAACAAAATCTTGCCCCATGTCCAGCTGGTGCAAAGCAAGCAGATGGTAGCTGTTTGAACTTCTTTAACTGACATTCGAGGTGCTTCATGATCTCAACTTAATCTCCCTCCTCAATAGGGTTTCTCAAGTATGTTTGTGGGCCACCTGCATCAGAATAATCTGGGGCCCCATCCCAGACCTGCGGAATCAGAATCTCAGGGAGTCTGAGGATCCCAGTCTACGGATAGTGCTGGGGGAGAGGGAGGAGGTGGTGACAGGTAGGGGATTTGTCAAGACTTGGATAAAGGGGCTCTGTCAGAAGTCAAGAATAGACATGTCTCTCCTCAGCCCCTAGGGCTGCAGTTTTCTCCCTTGCCAAGCAGTAGAGTTATCTGAATTAAACACAGTGCTCCTAATGAAACAATAAGATTTATTGCACACTCTGCTACGTACTAGCAAATCCTCTAATTGAGGCAGCTGCCCTGGGAAGCCACTGAGAACACCCGGTGTGGTCCACCTTCACCCTGTCAGAAGGAAAGGGGCTATGAAGCTGGAAGGAAGCTTGAACTGCTTCATTTCTCCAAGATCCTAAAGCTGGGCATACTGCCCTGGGAGGGCTGGGGTGGTGGTTGAAGGAGATCTGGAACTGTGGCTTTTAGAGTGGACCTCCACAGAGAGCCCCTTCGGTAGCCTTGCCAGCCTCTCTGAGTCCTGAACCACCTTCCTTTCTCTGCTTTAAGCATGCATACCCCACAATGGTTTGGCATGGGGGGCCTTTCCCAGCCCTGCAGGTGGGGCCCCTCCCTGTCCTGAATGTTACATGTGCCCTTCACTCCCCACACCTTGGCACTTTTTGTCCCCTGTCCTTTGACTGTCCCTCCTCTCATTTCCCCGCCTAATAAACTCCAGCCCATGTCACCTCCTCTGTGAGACCTGCCCTGACTATTTCCACACCTCTGGCACAAGGATCTCTCCCTCCCCTGCACTCCCACAGTGCCTTACAACAACCATACAAACAGCAGCTAACAGTTACTGAGCACTTACTACAGGCCCTGGCCTCTGTTTCCTGTCTGAAGGAGAGAAAGGGGAAGAAAGGAGAAAGCATTCTAAGATGGTTTCATGAGGTCCCTGTGTTCTCCAGTTTGGTGTGAGAAGCAGCAAAACAATCCCCTTATTTCAAGAGGCATGGATGCGGCCCAGGAGGCCCAGGCAAGGGGAGCTTGCAGTGAGGACCCAGGGGTTGCAGAATGTGGACCGCTGACTGCAGAGCAGTCAGGGACGAGGCCAGCTCAGGGGAAAGATGGTGCAGCAGGTTGTATTTTCAAGATGGCCACAGCTTCCCATCCCATGGGCTCCTGTTGAGATGTTGCTGCTCCTTTCATAGAGAGGTGGGACTTATGTTCTCTTCCCTTGAATGTGGCATGTGCCTACAGCACAAAGATTCTCTGTGACTTCTGAGGCTAGGTTGTAAAAGGTGAGACAACTTCAGTCTGGTTCTCTTGGGTTGCTTGCTATTGAACCCCAGCTGCCATGCTGTGAGGGAGCCCAGGTGACTGGGAGACACCACAGTCCTCACTAAGGCTCTAACCAATAGCCAGCATCAGCTGTCAGACGTGTGACTGAGAAATCTTTGAGATAGCTCCAGCCTCAGCCAGTGTCCAACTGCAACAGCACAAGGGACTCTGAGCAAGAATCACCTGCCGGAGCCTAGTTTACCCCAGAACTGTTAAGAGAATAATGGTTTGTAATTGTAAATTTTGGGGTGATTCCTTATGCAATAATAGAAAATCAGAACAGATGGGGATGCCTAGGACTGACTGGGTCGGGGGGCAGGGATATTCTGAAGTGGGGGGTTCTGAAATGACCAAGACTAGGTTTCCACTTCTTGGTAGAAAGGGGGCTTGAGGTAGAAACAAAATTCCAACCTAGAAAGTCACAATTTTTGCATATTTGGCTTTTAGACTGGAAGTCACAGGTGACTGTTATGTGACCTTGTGCAAATCACTTTCCCTTTCTGAGCTTCTCGAGCTCTGATCTCCATAAGGTAAGCATTCCTCCTTGTGAGATTGTTTTGTGAGGATTACAGGAGATCACGAATGCCAAGTACCTGGAACTCACCTGGCACACTCATGTGTGCTGAGCACAGATGGGTTGGGGGCCTCTGGCCATCCCCCTTGCCACCCCCCGCCATCTCTACTTCAGGGTCACGCTGATGCCTGGACACTTGCATGCTGCTCCTGGGGACACACATACTCCCTCTCCCTCCTCCCTTGCTGCTGAAACAAGTCAGGAGCCAGGCGATCAATGGCCGGCCTTGCCTGGGCGAGCTCTCTGCTCATTACAAGTGCCTGCCACCTCCGCGTCCCTCCTATCCAAGGACAGCTTGGTGGGGACCTAATTCAGAGAAGGAATGAAACAGCCAGGAGTCTGCTTCTCTCACCCCCTTCCTGTCCATGCCCCCATCTGCCCAGAGCCAGAGACCTTACTGCTCATACTGTTCTCAGGAGATAGTTAAGGTCTCCTGCCTGGAGACCTCAACATTCCCCTCTAGGGCATCTTGACGGTTCTGCCCAGTCATATCCTCAGCTGGTCACTTAGCCTAAACATCTACCATTAGTCCAGATGGCAACCACCTGTCTATTAGGTACTAATTGTGTGGCAGGTGGCTTACATCTCAATCAACCTCACCCAATCTCTGTGGTAGGAACTACAATGAGGTCAACTTGATAGAGAAGAAACTGAGGAGCAAATAAGTCACTTCTCCTGGAGAATAGTTGGGCTAGAGTCAGGCTGGCCTTATTCCCAGGGCTCTCTGCACTCGGAGGCTATCAAAATAGTCTCCAAATTCAAGCACCCTTTTGTCTGGTGCTCAACAGAAGAAATCCTGGGGTTTTGATGAAGAGATAGGCAAATAGAACTATTAATTTATTCTTTCATTCATTCTTTACTTCAGCATCTATTAAGTGGTAGGCTCTGTTCTAGATGAAGGGATAGAGCAGTCACCAAAAGAAATTCCCTGCTCCCAGAGTTTCCAATCTAGTGGCCCAGAGAGGTGACATCACTTGCCTCAGGTCAAACAGCCAGAAAGTAGCCATAACCAGAGGCAGAAGGGGTGATCATAGGGAGAGGTCTGATCTGACTCCCTAGGATCAGGCCAGCCAAGGCATGGAGGGCAGGACATACCTTGGCAACAGGCTGGCCAGGGTTCCAATCCCACTACTGCTATGTCCTCATCATGCAACTCTGGGAAAACCACTTTGCTTTTTTGAGCCTGTTTTCTTGTGGGTGGAATGGGGATAGTTAGAACCATGGTTGAAACAGGCCCTGAGAGGATGAAACAGGCCCTGGTAAATGTTGGGGACTGGCCTTCCCTTTCTCCTTCCAGGGAGGGTTGCAGGCTTCTTCCACCTCCTCTGTGAGCAACCTTGGCCTCAGTCAACCCTCATGAATGTGGAAGAGATCTGAGTGTACTGTGGCCTGATCAGCCACCTCTGCTTCCTGTATCTCATCAGCTTGCTCCTAGGGTCCTTGGGCATGGAGTGGCAAAGTTCTACAGCACATAAAGCACAAATTATTTAAAAAATATTAAAGAGATAATTGTGGTGTGTGGAGAATAGATTGGAGGTGGGGGGCATATCTGTCAGCTATTTCACAATAATGCCACATAACAAGCCACCCCAAAACCCAGTGGTTTCAAACAATGATCATCTCATCTCATAGGCCTGCAGACAAGTTGGAGTGGCTCTGCTCCAACTGTATCTGATTCTCCTCCCAGCAGCAGCGGGTGAGCCAAGGCATGTTCCAGTGGCCATGGCAGAAGCACAAGAGGGCGAGTGAAAATGCTCTTAAATCCCAGGTGGGGGCCCACTTATGCTCCATCCTGTTGACCAGTGCCATTCAATAGCCAAGGCCAAGGTTAAGGGAGACGGAAATCTATCCATCCCATTGGCAGAGGTGTGGCTGCAGGAAGAGGTGAAGAATTGGGACTAATTTTCAATATACCACAGGAGGAGGTGAGGAAGAAGTATGTCTACTTAAGAGGCCCCCATAGACATCCAGGTGAGTGAGGATGGACCAGACTGGCAGCAGTGGCAGTGATGAGAAATATCTGTTGACTGAATGAATGCTCAGACCCTTAATTCCACCTTGACCCTTAATTCCACTCCTAGGAATTCATGCTAATAACATAAACTAAACTGTGAAGATGTTCATTACAGCATTGCTTATAATAATAAAATATGGATACAACTTAAATGTGCATGAAATGTAACTCCTAAATTCTAGCATCTTAGAAAATGTAATAGAAAGAGACTGCTTTGGACTGGCGTGGTGGCTTACACCGGTAATCCCAGCACTTTGGGAGGCTGAGGCAGGAGGATCACTTGAGGACAGGAGTTTGAGACCAGCCTGGGCAACACAGCAAGACCTGTCTCTGCAAAAAATAAAAAAATTAGCCAAGTGTGGTGATGTGTACCTGTAGTCCCAGCTACTCGGGAGGCTGAAGCAAGAAGATCACTTGAGCCCAGGAGTTTGAGGTTATAGTGAGCTATAATTGTACCACTGCACTCTAGCCTGGGTGACAGAGTGAGACCCTATCTGAAAAGAAAGAGAGAGAAGAAAGAAATAAAAAGAGAAAGAAAGAATGAAAGAAAGAAAGAAGAAAGAAAGAAAGAGGGAGAGGAGACTGGACTGTGGAGTCAGATAGACCTGAGTTTGAATCCCAGCTCTATTGCTTTTGAGACGTGTGACCCTGAGAAAATCACCTCACCTCTCTGAGCCTCAGGTGTGGAGGAAGGAAAAGTCACGACTTTGTAGAGGAGGACAGAAAAAGTTCACTGGCATTAGAACAGGCTTCCTAGACAAGTGGGAGTCAAGCTGGGGAAGGAGGGATATGACTTGGAGAGGCAGATGGAGAAGGTAGGCGCCCCAGATGGGAGGGACATGCGTCCAAAGGTGCTGGTGGCAGGAACAACGTGGCACGTCTGAGGGAGTGAGGAAACTGTAGGATTGGAACTGAGGTGGAAGAGGAGCAGTGGATATGAGGTAGGATGGGGTTGAAGGGCCTGACCGCAAAAGACCATGAGTGCTGGGCCTCCAGACAGAGCACTGTGGGGTGGGATCAGTGAGTGTAGGTGCGGCCCTGATTTGGGCTTGACCTTTGCTTCATGGGCTGTGATGCAACAAGCGACTTCTTGTTCTGGGATAGTCCCTTTTGGACCGCTAGACATTCTTATTTGTAAAATATAGTCCATTATGTTGTTAATGAACTTCCTTCTCTTTTTGGTTTTAGAGAACCAACAGGCGTTGGGTTCCCTGCCTGTGAAACCCTTCACTTGGCACTTGATGTCATTGTCCCATTCAGCCCTCACAGCAGCCCACATGGTGGGGATCATGATTCCCATTTCTTCCTCTTTTTTTTTTTTTTAATTAAAAAGTTTTAGGGCCAGGCACGATGGCTCACGCCTGTAATCCTTGCACTTTGGGAGGCTGAGGCAGGTGGATCACGAGGTCAGGAGATCGAGACCATCCTGGCTAACACAGTGAAACCCTGTCTCTACTAAAAATACAAAAAGAATAATTAGCCTGGCATGGTAGTGGGCGCCTGTAGTCCCAGCTACTCGGGAGGCTGACGCAGGAGAATGGCGTGAACCCGGGAGGCAGAGCTTGCAGTGAGCTGAGATCGCACTACTGCACTCCAGCCTGGGCAACAGAGCAAGACTCCATCTCAAAAAAAGTTTTAAATTTTCGTAGAGACAGGTCTCAGTATGCTGCCCAGGCTGGTCTTGAACCCCCAGGCTCAAGCAACCCTCCCACCTCAGCCTCCTAAAATGCTGGGATTAAAGGCGTGAGCCACCGGGCTGGCTTCTTCCCTTTTCTTTTCTGTTCCTTTTTTTTTCTTTCTTTCTTTTTTCCTTTTCTTTTTTGGACAGGGTCTCACTCTGTCACCCAAGTTGGAGTACAGTGGCATGATCATGGCTCACTGCCGCCTTGACCGCCCAGGCTCAGGTGATCCTCACTCGTCAGCGTCCCAGGAAGCTGGGAGTAACAGGCACATGCCACCATGCCCAGCTAATTTTTTGTAGAGACAAGGTGTCACCATGTTGTCCAGGCTGGCCTCAAACTTCTGGATTCAAGCAATCCTCTCACCTCAGCCTCCCAAAGTGCTGGGATTACCGGTGTGAGCCACCACGTCTGGCTTTTTTATTTTGAGACAGGGTCTTGCTCTGTCATCCAGGCTGGAGTGCAGTAGGTTAATCACAGCTCACTACAGCCTTGACCTCCAGGGCTCAAGTGATCCTCCTTCCTCAGCCTCCTGGAGTAGTTGGGACTTTAGGCACGTGCCACTATGCCCAGCTAATTTTTAAGCATTTTTGTATAGAGATGGGGTCTCACTATGTGCCCAGGCTGGTCTCAAATTCCTGGGCTCAAGCCATTCTCCTGCCTCAGCCTCTCAAAGTGCTGGAATAACAGGTGTGAGCCCCTGTGACTGGCCTTGATTCTCACTTCTTAGATGAGGCCACTGAAGCTTAGAGGTTAGACTGAAGTCTTGTCTGAGGTCACACAGTGCCTACCTGTTCCAGCAAAGGGGTTCTTTGTCTTCGCTTGGAGTCTCTCCTGAGGGGTGTGTGTGTGTGTGTGTGTTGTGCTTGTGCCTGTGAGGCTGTGTCTTTGTACATTTGGGCATATCTGGGGTTCTCTTCGTGTCCCTGTGTGTTTCTTTTTGTATGAATGACTGTGTGTGTCTATTGTGTGTCCCTGTGGGTCTGTGTGTGTGTCACTGTCTCCTTGTATAAGTCCTATGTGTGTCTGGGTCCCCATATGTGTCTCTAAAGGTGTTTCTCTTGGTATCTGTAACTTTGTGTGTCCATGTGTATCCTTGTTATGTGTCCTGTGTGTCTTGTGTCTGTGCACCCTTGTATGTGTCAGAGTCCCTGTATTAGGAGCTGCGATGCCAAATGAGTGACATCTTCTCCACCCCCACCAGCCTCCTGGGCTCTGTCTCCAGCATGAACCAGCCTGGTGGCTGTGACCTGGCAAGGACAGCTCAACACTCAGCGTTCTACACCAAGCCCAGGTGAAAGTATCACAAATTTGTTGAGCAATCGAAGCCCAAGCTCCCATCATCCCAACAGCTGCAGTGAATCTATCTGTGACTTCTCTGGATACCCATTAAAAAATAGCTCTCAGTAATAGGGTGTGGAGGGCTGATCTGTCTGCATGGCTCCAGCCAGAATTTATTAAGCTTTCTTTTTTTAATTTCTTTTAATTTCCCTTTTTAAATTTCTTTTAATTTCCCTACCTATTGGGCTTGAGTGGCTCATCAATCATGGGATGCCTGCTGTGTAAGGTACATCCTCAGCACTGCCGTGTGACATCCGGCCCACGCCTGTCCCCCAAGAGCAGACAGTGCCCAAGTGTCCTGTCCCTGCTTCATGCTGAATCCCTGATACGATCAAGCTTTTCCTTCATCAGAACTTTGTCATGACCACATTCCTCTCTGCGTTGTGCAACATTGGCTGTAATTGCAATTGGCCGGGCCTAGATTGTGGAGGAGGAGGGCTTGAGAGCAGGTTTATGGGGAGGGCCATCAAGTGCTGGGCTCCTCCTCAGAAGCCCTTGCTTGCCTGAGCATCAGTCATGACGATCCTGAATTGCCCCCTGGCTGCAAAACCACTAAAAGAAAATCCACTGGCTGTAGCCAGCCGGGCTCTCAGAGTAGCCCTGCTGATGCATCCAGCCTCAACCTTTGGCATGTCTAGACCCAGGATGCTTGTGACAGATGGCTCCTGCCCCACCTCTCTGCCCTAGCTATGAGCCAGAGCTAAGAACAGCCCTGTCTTCTGATTTCTCCCCACAGTATCCATGACCTAGATCTACATCCACAGGTAACTCTTGGCCAAGTGCCGATGAAGGTATTAGAAATGGTGAGGGCTGGGTGGGTCTGCAGGAAAAAAAGGGAGTCTTTTACCCTCAGCCAGCCCCACACCTCTACCTGCCCATAGTGCTCCTGGCTGAGTGCCCTACCTGCTCTTCGCTGGCCTTTCCAATATTAATCACCTTCCAGGCTCCTGATTAGCCTCACCTCATAGTTCAGGCTTGACTGGGCATCTCCTGTCCGTGGAGACTGCTTCCCCCATAGCACATGATCAGTGCTATGTGTCTTGACACATAATTGCTCTTTAATTGTTTCTGCTGTTTTTTGTTTGTCTGTTTGTTTGTTTTTCTTGTCTCGCAGCTTCCCTATGAGCTCCTTGGGGCAGGAAACCAGTTCACTTCTGTCTCACTCACTCACTCATTCATAGATTTACTCATGCATTTATTCACTCCCTACTCACTCTTCCACTCAGTCACCTAAAGCGTATTATCCTTAAAAGTGTTTTGGCCTCCCCTTGATGACCACATATGAATGAGACCAGAGAAATTACCCATCTTTTGAAAGTCCAGGTGAGATATTGTTCACAGGGCTAGGCTGAGTCCCAAGGCCCTAGCCTTGATCTTGATTTATCTCCCAGAGACACATGAGACTTTGGGTCACTTCCCCAATGGGGACACTTCTCAGGGAGAACTGGAGCTCCTTCTGTAAGGTGCAGAATAGGTTTATTATTATTATTATTTATTATTATTATTATTATTATTTTTTGAGTCGGAGTCTCACTCTGTCACTCAGGCTGGAGTGCAATGGCACAATCTCTGGCTCAATGCAACCTCTGCCTCCCGGGTTCAAGCAATTCTGCCTCAGCCTCCCGAGTAGCTGGGATTACAGGCGCCTGCCACCACGCCCGGCTATTTTTGTATTTTTAGTAGAGACAGGGTTTCACCATATTGGCCAGGCTGGTCTCAAACTCCTGACCTCAAGATCCGCCCGCCTCAGCCTCCCAAAGTGCTGGGATTACAGGCTTGAGCCACCGTTCCCGGCCATTATTATTATTTTTTAAAGTAGCTGGGCCTTGGTGAGCCAGCAGGCAGGACAAAGCTCCCTGAACCCTGCCCCTTCCCTGCCAGCTGTACTTTCAACATCTGAGAGAGTGTATAACATGGTGATTTAGAGTCAAAGACTTGGTCTTCCACCTGATGACCTCGGGCAAGTTGCCCAACCTTCTGGGTCTCAGCTTTCTCATCTGTAAAATGGGATTAACTGCAATACTCACATCATTCAATTTTATGAAGATTTAATGTAATAATACATGTAAAACACTTTGCATAAGGACCAGAATGTAGTAACCAATTAGTGTTTGCTGAAAATTTTAGGTTATTATTACCAGTATGTAAATATTATTATCATCCTCATTTTACAGAAGAGAAAACTGAGCCCTAGAGATGTTAAGTGATGTACCTAAGGCCTGCAGTGAATCAGTAGCAGAGCTGGTACTCAAGCACAGGCCTTCAGAGTTTGAGGCAGAGGCTAAGGCCAGGGAATGTGGCTCCCTTTTCCTGCCCTGGCATGGAATAAGCCATGGCCCAGCCATGGGATCCCTTCACATCTTTGAGTTTCATCTGTTAGTCATTAGGTTGCAAGTGACAGAAGGGGTAGCTCAAACTGAGTAGAACAAAAAAGTAATGTATCAGCTTCTGTAACTGAAGAGTCCAGTGATATGTTCAAACAGTGTCATGGAAAGCCAGTTACACTTTCTGGTTCAATTAACTTTGTGGTGGCATCATTCGTAAGCAGAATCTTTCCATGAGGTAGCAGAAATAGTGCCCAGTAGTGCTTGGCTTGTACCCCTACACCCCAAGCATGAAAGAACACCTCTTCCCACACCGTTTCAGCAAAAATCTCAAGTTTGAGTTTCATTGGCCTGGCTTGGCCATACATCTGTCCTTGAACCAGTCCCTGTAGATGGGAGATTCACACTCTGATTGGCTAGGCCTGGGGCACAAGGATCCCAGGGTGGTGCTAACTCCACATAAACCAACAGGCTAGAGAGCAGGGGAAGGTAAGGACCCCTTGGAAACCCGGGGTCCTGTTATAAGAAGGAAGGGGCCTGGAGGCTGAACAGACAAAAATAATAGTTACCTATACAAATGGGAATAAGACTTTCACATTTCTTGTGAGAATTATTTGTGATCATGTGGAGAGCATTTCTTTCATCTTTGGGCCTCTAAGTGGGACTCTTTTTTTTCTTATCGTCCTTGATGTTCATTTGACCCAATTGTATCCCCTTGCCCTTCCCCGTCCTCAGATCCTTCTTCCAACCTCTTCCCCGTCTCAATCTCTCTTTCCTGAAATCACAGCCAGGATTTGAGTCCATGACTCCCCTGAGGCCCCAGTACAGAGGAGGAGGCCTTATCAGTCAGGATTGGTGACAACAGAACCCAACTCCAGCGAGCTTAGCTGAAAAGGGGGATTTGTTGCTCATCAGGAAGACCAAAAGGTCAGGCTTGAGAGCAAAAGGAGGCCCCTGCAGGGTCCAGCTGGGCAGCAAGGACTTCTCAACCGTCTTGTTCCTGTGCAGCTGCTGCTGTGCTGCAAATGTCCCTGCAGCAAATCTGCCATCTCTCTGCTGGAGAGTCTAGGTCCCAGGAAACAGTGGGAGCCACAGGACCACTGCTTGGCCCTGAGAGGTTGGACAGCATGGCGGGTATCCTACCAAGGCTACATGTAATGCGAGGAAGGAAAAGGCAAAGAAGGAAAGAGCTGTCCTTCTGCTTCCTGGAAGTCAAAGGTGAACACAGGTGACCAGAGCACCACAGTGTCCACTCCAGATGCACACGTGGGTTCTCAGGGGGCAGTGGAAGAGAACCCTTAGATAGAGGGATGCAGGCCTCTTGTTGGGCCATATCGAAGGTCTCCGTCAGCACCCGCTGGGCCCCTCCTCCTCCATCTGTTGTCACCCTGACTCAAGACCAGTGTTACTGGCATATTAATACTTGCTCCCCCATTTGCAATATTCAGGGTGCAGGCTCCAGGTATTCTGAGGACAAGCTCTTAATTAGCCCAGAACACTGGGATAGAGCCTGCCTGTGGCTGACAGCAAAATAAATATACCTAAATTGCCAACGTAATTTGAAGTCGGTTTTCATTTTTCTCCCGTAATAAGAGAAGCGATGGCAGGGGTGGGGGCTTGTTATCTCTGGCGGGCCTGATGGATGATGAGGTGTCCGATCCGCCGCATCTGTCGGCTTCCTGGCGGCAAGACATTTATTGCCCACTCCCACCCCTACTACCACCCTGGTCCACCAAACCATTTCCGTCCTCATCAGAATTAGCGTATATTCTTTCGAGATGATCTAAAGACAAGCTTCATGATACATATTTCTACAGTCAGAGTCTCACTCCTTCTCCATCTTGGGCATTTGAGACATCAGATTCTGGGTTAAAGGATGGCTTTGGGTATTTATTCCTTCAAAATACTTTCTAATAAAAAGTTTCTATAATTTAGTGAGAAGAAGATTTAACCAAAGAGAATTTTGTAAAAGGAAAATAAAATTCCCCACATTCATCACCATCCTAACGCATTAGCTATTTTCATCTAGTGGGGTAGAGTGGGACAAGCTTTGCTGTAACATAGATTTGAGTTCAAATTTGAGCGCCTCTATTTCCTGGCTTTGTGAATTTGAACAAGTCATTCCCTTTTTTTTTTTTTTTTTTTTTTTTTTGTGAGACAGAGTCTCACTCTGTTGCTCAGGCTGGAATGCAATGGCACAACCTCGGCTCACTGCAACCTCCGCCTCCCAGGCTCAAGCAATTCTCCTGCCTCAGCCTCCTGAGTAGCTGGGATTACAGGTGCACGCCACCACACCCAGCTAATTTTTGTATTTTTACTAGAGACGGGGTTTTGCCATGTTGGCCAGGCTGGTCTCGAACTCCTGACCTCAGATGATCCGCCCGCCTCGGCCTCCCAGAGTGCTGGGATTACAGGCGTGAGCCACCTCGCCCGGCTGCTCTTTCTAAGCCTTGATTTCTTTAAACAGGGAGAGTAATTCTGACTTCACAGGGCTGTGTGAATTAAATGAGAAAACGTGTTCAGGCCACCCAGGTGTTGGGCCCGTTTTCCCAAACCTTACCTGTTGCTCCTTTCCAGCATTCACCATTTCCTCAGCATCCACTGTGCTCTATGCTCTGTGGGAGATGAACACAGACCCTGCCTTCCAGGAAATTCCCTCTGTTCTGTGAACACATGTTAATTTACCAGATTAGCTAGCAGAAAATGAAGAAGGGAAGTGCTGACAGGTAGTTTTGAAGGGAACAGTGAGGTTGTCCTATTCATGGATAGAACATTTGATCTAGAGCTATGTTCTCTCATCAGATGAGGTCACCAGTAACCAACTGGACCCTACTCCAGCCTCTAAACCCTGCCTTAAACTAAGCAATGGATACATCTGCCCACATGTATGCAATGACCTGTATACTTAGGCACAAACACACATGCACATGTGTGCAACAAACATGAACCCATACACATGCATATACACATATGCACATGCACACACAAAGCATAGGTGTGCAAGCACATGTGTGCTCCTTATAGACATGGACCCATGCATGTGCATACACATACATATGCATGTACACACACTAGACACATGTACATGTGCACACCATACAGACATGGACCTGCACGTGTATACACATGCACACAGGTACATCATGTGAAGGTGCAAATACACGTACACAATCACAGGCACCCACACAGATGTGTACATGCTCTGTGTCAGCTAAAGGCCTCAGACAATGCTCCCAGAAGTCGCTCCTGTGCATCCAGCTCCACGCCAGCCCCACAGCCCCCAGTGCCCTTCCTGAGCATGAGCTCCACTTAGCAAGCTCCAGCTGGGCAGAAAATTGTTCCTTGGAAAAAACCTGGCTCATATAGACCTGCAATTGGCTGCTCAACATGAATGTAAGACCTCATAAGGGGCACAGGGGCTGCGTTGGTAGGGGCTCATGGCTTCTACTTGTCGGCCAGGACTCGGTTTGGGAGCCTGTCTCGGGCCCTGAGCCCAGACGGGGCCAACTCTGCCCAGTGTCTCACAGTGATAAGCTACCTCAACAGTCCTTGGACATTATGCATCACTGGACCATGCTGCTCTGCGGAGGTAGGGATGAGGCACCTCTGCTCAGGAAGGTACTCGAACAACTTGGCCTCATCCTCTTGTCCTAACTGTCCTCATCCTTCAGGGCCTGGTTTTTGCAGCCCCACTCCCCCACAACCACCTTCAAGAAGCCCTCTCTGATTGCTCTGGCCTTCAGGTCTCCTTGTGCACCTCCCAGTCTGCTCCCCACGTTGTTTCTCTCTCACACAAATATGTCGTTTTTCTGGTGTCTGTCCAGAGATCATGAAGTGGGGCTGCCCTTGTACCCCTCTCAGCACAAAAGACAGGCCTGGGCAGCTTATGCTCACTCACTCCAGGCTGAGTTCATTCATGCATGCATTCATTCATTTGACAAATCTTTAATGAGTGTCAGCTGTGTGCCAGGAGATGGCAAACCGCAGGGAACAGACAGACCAAGTCTTTGTCCTCATAGAGCTGACGCTCTGGTGGGAAAGGCAGAAAATAAGCAAAAGCAAAAGGAAATAAATAAATATCCAATCACACCCAGTGATAAAGGCTGGGAAGGAAGAGAGTGTGATGGGTATTTATTTCAGCAAAAGAGGTCATAGAAGGCTTGCTGGCATGCTCCTTTGTCCAAGTTCACTGCAAGACTCACCCAACAAGCCATCCCTGGCCCCTCAGGCTGGATCTGTGATCCCTCCTCATGGCCTTTAAGCACATGGCTATAATGTAATTTATGTGGACACATATGTCTCCCCTGCCAGACTGTTAACACCTTCAGAAGAGTGTTTCTCTCCGAATCCTCTTGTTGTCCCTAAAACTCAAGAGTGAAGGACATTTGCAGCAGGCTCTGAAGAATAAGTAACTGGCCTGCAGGTGTCAGAGGTAAAGAGAGGGGCAAAACCATGGAGGTGTAAAATTGCACAACATGTTTGTCAAATGGGTTTCACTGGTTGATGTGGAGAAGACCTGAATATGGAGGGAGGGGAGAATTGGCAGGAGAAGAGCCTGATTGTGCCCCAATTATGAAGTGTCTTGAATGCCAGGGTATGCTATATGGACTCAGTCTTAACAGCAGCAGGGAACCATACAGGTTCATTCCCCTCCATCCCCTGGCACCCGTCACATTCCCTACATGGAGAAGGTGATCAATAAATGCATATGGGATTGAAGGGCACTGGAGGAAAAGGACTGAGATAGTTCTGTGTCAGCAGCTGGGCAGTGACCAAGGGTGGTCTAAGTGGAGTCAGAGTGGTCAGCTGCCAAGAGTCCTCCTGGCATCCAAATAGCACTCCTTTCCCATCACAGCGTCGGAAATCACTCTGTTAGTGAGTCATTTATTAGGCGCTTTGGAAATGGAGCTCCCCAAAGTCTCCAGAAGACAATACTCTCTTAATGGTGATTTACTGCCAATGAGACCAGAACGAGATCCAGGGGGTGGGGGTGGGATGTGGAGTGGAAGATAGAGCCCAGCCTGGCAACTGGAGTTCGGTCACTTCCAGGTCCTTTAGAGCAAACCCTGACCTGGCTGGTGTGAAGGAAAGACACAGGGTAGAGCACCGGACTTAGGTTGTTGCTAATTCGCTAAGGGACTCAGGCAGCCTTTCTCCCCCTCGGAGCCTTGGTTTCTTCATTCCTGCAATGAGGCTGTAGGGGACCTGTGTTGTTTTACCTGCTCAGCATTCAACTCGTCCTTTTCTGGAAGGTGCACCCCAGTATGGCTTTGGAGAACCCTCTCAGTCCATGCTCAGATGGGGCTGACTCCAACCTCCAGCCCCAGGCTTGGCTAATCTGAATCATGATGATTGGTTTAGTAATGAGTATGTGACCTCAGCTGGGACAATGAGAACTGGACTTTTGGGAAAGGACTCTTTTATTCTCAGGGTAACTCAGCTGGGAAAATGGGATCCTGGGGTTGCCTATGACCACTTCTCCATCTTTGAGGACAGTAAGCCTGAGAATGAAGCCATCTAGAGGAAAGTAGAGATCACAAGTGGAGAAAAGAGACAGATTCCTATAGTAACACCAGTCGGGCCCCTGGATTCTGCCATGCTTGAAGCTAGTTCAAGTCTTTATATTTGTGGTTATATGGACCAATACATGCTCCTTTTATTTTGCTTAAGCCAATTTGGGGTGAGTTTCTCTCACTTGCAGGTGGCAAGGGGGATTACCTCAGGGAGGGGTCTCTGTATTCTGATGACTGTGTAGTTTTCTCTGGCTAAGCTGATTTGTGAGGTACTAGCATGTGACCAGGCTCAGTGAGGTGGGCAAGAAGGCCTGGTAAAGTGTATGGGGTGACAGTAGACACAAGCTGAGCCCAGTGGAGCACATATAATTCAGAAGTTGGCTGAGCAGAGAGAGACAGAACCTGAGAGGAGAGAGTGAATAGAATAGGGGGTAAACTAAGGCAGGAGAGTATCACAAAGGAGCAACTGTACACTTATAATTCACCAGGCAACCAGATGGATGATCTGAAAGAATAAATCAAGGTTGGGCATGGGGGCTCATACCTGTAATCCCAACACTTTGGGAAGTCGAGGCAGAAGGATCACTTAAGCTCAGGAGTTTGAGACTGGCCTGAGCAACACAGTTTATTTTTGTCTCTACAAAAATAAAAACTAATTAGCCGGGCTTGGTGGTGCACACCTGTGGTCCCAGGTACTTGGGAGGCTGAGGTGGGAGAATCACTTGAGCCCAGGAGGTTGAGGCTGCAACCTGGGCAATAGAGCAAGACCCCATCTCAGAAAAAAAAAAAAAAAGAAATCAGATTGGATCTCTCCCCTCCTTTAAATCTTCTAGTTTCCCATTGCCTTGAGAATAAAATCCAAACTTCTTATTCTGCACAGCCAGCAAGGTTCCCATGAGGTCTGATCCCATCCATCTTTCTCTTGCATCTCCCTCTGCCGTACTGCGTGCCCAGGCCTAGAACCATGCCGGAGACCTAAGCACACACTGGAAATATTTGTTGAATAAAGAAATCAGTGAATGAAATGAGAACTGAAAAGTATTTCTGGTGGATTTAGCACCAACAGTTATTGTTCAATTTGGTAAAAAATCTCCAGTGGAAAAGGTAAGGGGGAATCTGGATTAGAGAGATTTCCACATGGAATTTCTATGGATAAAAGGCAGAAAGAGTCAATAAATGGACTCTTCTTCCTGGAATTCCTGAGATAATTTTTGTGATCCTGGGGAAGAGAAGATCTTCATTATTTTGACAACAAAAGCAGAATATAAAGGAAAGAATTGAATATATAACAATAACTACATAACTATAATTAAAAAGCCACCATACAGGCTATACACAAAACTACACGTGATAAAGTTACATAGAACTAACTATACACACACACACACACACACACACACACAAAAGTAAAACTGAGGGAACCTGAGTAAGATCAGTGGCTTCTGTCAATGTCACTGTGCAGGTTGTGACATTGTACCATTAGGAGGAGCTGGGTGAACTGTACCCATGATCTCTTGGTGTTATTTCTTACCACTGCATGCAAATCTACAATGGTCTCAAAATTAAAAGTTTAAATTAGGCCAGGCGCAGTGGCTCACGCCTATAATCCCAGCACTTCGGGAGGCTAAGGCCGGCGGGTCACCTGAGGTCAGGAGTTTAAGCCCAGCCTGGCCAATATAGTGAAACCCTGTCTTTACTAAAAATACAAAAAAAAATTAGCTGCGCATGGTGGTAAAATTACACGCCTGTAATTCTAGCTAGTTGGGAGGCTGAGGCAGGATAATCGCTTGAACCCAGGAGGCGGAGGTTGCAATGAGCCGAGATTGCGCCACTGCACACCAGCCTGGGTGGCAGAGCGAGGCTGTCTCTTAAAAAAAAAAAAAGTTTAAATTAAAAAAACCCACCATAAACAAAATTCAAAAGTAAACTCAGTGAAACTGCTTTAGGCCTGTCTGCAGCTTAGGGTTGTTAAAGACTCTTAACCATCTGCAGGACATCTATGGATAGGAATAGGGAGCAGAGAGGCTTTGAGAGGGAAAAAGAATTCACGGAGGCAGGAATTAGGAAATCAGAGCCTACCTACCCTGAGACTCAATACACCTCCTACAAGGAGTGTCGTGTGTCAGAGTGAGTGTGTGAGTGTGTGTGTCAGTGTGTGAGTTCGTGAGACTGTGTGAGTGTGTGTGTGTGAGACAGTGAATGTATGTATATGAGTGTGTGTGAGTATGTGTGAGTGTATGAGTGTGTGTGTGTGTATGTGTGTATTGTGGGTGGCACTGGGAGTTAGAAATAGTGTACATACTCACCATTAAATTATCCCATTATTCATTTTCAAAAGCATAGCTGTATTAATCTGATAAGCAACTACAGTCTTGAGATTCAAGCCCATTTGCCTTATCAGAGAAAAAAATTGCACGCTAGAAAAATATATGCAACACACTGACTAGATTCTAAGCTCTGTGAGAGAGGGAACAGGGTCCTGACTTCTTGCCCTGCTGGGCCCCTGCTTTAAAGTGTAGGTGTCATTATTATTCAGATATGGCGAGGCCAACAGATCTTCGTTACTTACAGTTCCCAAGAGGAGTGGGCACACCAAGATCTGCAGAGCCATGGGGGAAGCACCGGGGTCAGTCAGGAGGCACAGGGAGTGGGTGAAAACAGGAGAGAAATCCTTTCTTCTGGCTTCCTCAGGGAGGAACGGACGAGACAGTGTGAGCAGGTTTACGATTGGCTAGTTTGGATAATTTCAATGGGCTCTGGGTCATCGGGGCTGTCCCCTAGTTGTCTGGTACGTGGCCCTGAGGTGACTAGGGAGGGGGATAGTGGCCCTGAGTGTGAGAACTCCATAGAGAAGGTGGTGGGGAGAGAAAGCTCTGGATTGGTTGGTTTGCACATGAAAGGGGCGCCCCTAGGAGAGTTGTTTACTTTCTGGGAGGTGGCTAACCCTAGAAGTCTCTCCAAGGTCAGCAAGACCTCAGATGTCAAAGCATCAGAAAAAACACATGGTAAATACAATCCCCAAGGTCCAGAACAGGTCCTGGTACTTAGGAAGGGCTCAGTAAATATTTGTTTAGTGAGGGAGAGAAGAAAGGATGGAAGGGAGGAAGGGAGGGAGGAGGGAAGGAAGGAAGGGAGGGAGGGAGGGAGGGAGTTGGCTTGCTAAGGACACCGCAGAGGCCTCTACCATCCTCTCTGGTTCCATGGGCTGCAGGGGAGCTCTCCTGACTCCTCCCGATCCAACCAGGACCTATCCTCCAAACAGGCCACTCAAATCCCTGATGATAGAAAGGCACCTAATGGGCTCACCAGGGAGCAGTGTTCCAGCCATCTTACCCTTCAGGAGGCAGTTTTGCCATGCATCCATGCTCACCAAGCCTTTGGTGCCTTAGGTGGGATTTCTGTTGTTCTTATTGTTGGGAGTTTTGGTGCTGTTTGTTTGTTTGTGGACAGTAATCCTGCAGAGAGAAAATTCAAACAGGGCTAAGAGCTGACAGTGAAAAGCAAGCCTCTCCACAACCCTCTCTGTCCTCTCTTTCCCTGGCTTCTAGGTTTCCTTCTTCATGGGTCTTGTCTAAGAACATAAGAAGGATATGTGTGGTGGCTCAGGTCTGTAATCCCAGCACTTGGGAGGCCAAGGCTGGAGGATTGCTTGAGGCCAGGAGTCCGAGACTAGCCTGGGCAATATAGTGAAACCCTGTTTTTACAAAACAAAAACAAAAACAAAAATCTAGCCTGGTGTGGTACTGGTGCGTGCCTGTAATCCCAGTGCTTTAGGAGGCTGAGGCAAGAGGATTGCTTGAGCCCAGGAGTTTGAGGCTGCAGTGAGCTAGTGATTGTGCTGCTGCACTCCAACCTGGGCAACAGTGCAAGACCCCATCTCCAAACAATAACAAAACAAAACAAAAAGAACATAAGAGCCTGGCAGCCCATCTTCCTCACACTCCACAAATGGCAGCATCATATACACATAGTTCTCTACTCTGCTTCTGGGAGCTTATTCCACATGAGTGCATATGGAACTGCCTTATTCTTTTAAAGGCTGCATAGTACCCCACAGTTTTAGATGGGTCTTAGTTGACTTAAGTGTCCCCCTCCTGATGGACAGACATCCAGGCTGGTTCCAATTCTGGCTTGTATAAACCATGCTGCACTGAATACCCTGAGGTATACATTCTCATGTATATAGGTGGGAGTATCTGTATTATGAATTCTGAAAAACAGAATTGTCTCATGGAAGGTACATATGTGTTAAATTTTCAGATTGCCACCCAAAAGATTGGATCAATTTATACCCTCGTCATTGTGTACAAAAGACAACAGGTCTATCTGATTTCATCTTAGCTAGGGTGGCATTTCTTCAAATCCTGGAGTCTAGTTGGGAGACCAAGCCTGAGGTTTCATGTTTGCAGTGTCTCCCTCACTGCCTCTGAACTTTTTGAGGGCTGGGGCTGAGCCTCATTCACTTCTAGGCCTTCAGGACCTACCAAGGAGTCTGACACCATAGTGGGTGCTTGTTAAATGTTTAGAGATGGGCCGGGTGTGGCGGCTCATGCCTGTAATCCCAGGACTTTGGGAGGCCAAGGAGGAGGATTGCTAGAGTCTAGGAGTTCGAGACCAGCCTGGGCAGCATAAGAAGACTCCATCTCTACAAGAAATAATAATAAAAAATAGCCATAAAAATTATGGTGCCTGGCTGTAGTCCCAGCTACTTCGGAGGCTGAGGTGGGAGGATCCCTTGAACTGGGGAGGTCAAGGCTACAGTGAGGTCAGATTGCACCACTGCACTCCAGCCTGGGTGACAGAATGAGACCCTGTTTTAAAAAAAAAGTTTCAAGATGGAGGCAGTCCCCAGGGCTAGATGTGGCAGTCCCACATCTGGGACTTTGGGAACTGACTCGGGGGGCAAGCTCCTTGGCACCCATGTGTTTCTCCTCCCTGCTTCCCCTCCCCTCCTTTGCTAGAGTTGGGTGAACTCCAATAGATTCCTGTGCAGGGGCTGCAGACTCGAATGTCCCTCCTCAGTGACAGGGGCAACACATTGGAAGACATTAGGGAGTGGTGGAGACTGTGGTGGCCGAGAGCAGCCAGGCTCAGCTCCACCTGGCTGTTGACAGGAGGAAATGGGGGCCCATTCTTTTTCAAGAGAAGCCATAAATCCAAAATTTTCTAAGTTATCTTGGTTTTAAAATGTTGGTTATTCAGATTTTTTTCAAAACACTGTGGAAGTCAATCAAAATTGTCCATGAACTGGTTGTAGCCTACAGGCCGCCACTTTTGGAATTCTGAAAGCTTTCCTCTGGCTCCTATTACACAGAGGAGAAAACTGAGGCCCAGAGAAACGGAGGCACTAGCCAGGAATGACACAGTTAAGATTAGCACCCTGGAGCCTGCGGGGTGGCTCACGCCTGTAATCCCAGAGACGCAGGAGTCTGAGGCAGGAGGATGACTTGAGCCCAGGAGTTCAAGGCTGCAGTGAGCCGTGATCGCGCCACCGCACTCCAGTCTGGGGGACAAAGCGAGATCCCATCTCTTTAAAAAAAAAAAAAAAAAAAGTAGAGCTCCGCTCCCACTTGCCCCCCATTCTCTCTCTCTCTCTCTTTCTCTCTCTCTCTCTCTTGCTCTACTCTCGCCCGTCTGCGTTCTACATTGGTTCTGCGGCCGTGTCCCTTTCGTGTGTGTCTGCCCTGTGTTTCTCCGTCGTCTCCGTGTGGATCTCGGTCTTTGTCTCGCCCTCTAGCTCTCTCGTGCGCCTGTGTTTAATCGTGCGCTTCTCTCAATCTCTCTGTCCCTCCCTTTGCCCCCTACACGCGTGTTCTCGTCAACAGATCTCCAGAGGTGGTGCAGAAACGACCCCGCGCCGGCGCCCCATCCTGCGGCCAGTGCCTCCGCGCCCCGGCTCCGGTCCCCACCGTCCCCGCCCCAGATTTCCGGAGGAGCAGGCGGGCGGGGTCCCGCGGGGCCGGCTGCCGTCAGCGCCCCTTCCCGGCGGCCGCGACCCCTCCCCGCTGACCTCACTCGAGCCGCCGCCTGGCGCAGATATAAGCGGCGGCCCATCTGAAGAGGGCTCGGCAGGCGCCCGGGGTCCTCAGCGCTGCAGACTCCTGACCTGCCGACTGCGGATCCCGAGTCCCCGGATCCCGGACCCATCCTGTGGAGCCCACTCCTGGCAGGTAACCGCCCCAACCCCTCTCCTTCCGCAGACGGTGTCCGGGAGCACTGGAAAGGGAGCCCTCTCGGCCCGCCCTCACCTTCGGTTCTCTGAGAGCTTCCTGGAGAACAGGGCCGGTGCACAGGCGGGCGCTGTGCTCGCACCCCCGGGTCCTCCCCGAGCGCAGGCCGGGGACCCGACGGGAGGCACGGCGCGGGCACATCGGAGGCTCTCGCTGCTGGGCACTCAGGTCGCCAGAGTCCGCAGCGCGGGGTGGGAGCTCCGCGGCACCCCCTGCCTGGGTGCCGCCGGACAGAGCTGGGTATTCAGGGCGTCGGCCTGAGAACCTGGGAGTTCGAATCCCAATCTCAACGCTAGAAATAGAATTTTAGCGTTGAAGTTAGGATTTTAGCGTTAGAATCAGATTCCTGGCTTAGTCATGAAAGCTTAGCATTAGAAATAGAATCTTAGCTTTGCAAATAGACTTTGAGCTTTAGAACCTGAATCTTAGCGATAGAAATGGGATCTTCGCGTTGGAATGAGGACGTCGGCCACGGAGCTTGGAGTTAGAACGTGGCGATGGGGACCTTTGGGGGAGTCTTGGCGGGGACGCAACCGTTAGCGTCGCGGCTGTGCCTGGCGCTGCAATCTCAATGGTTGCACTCCCGGCGAGGCAGTCCCAGCGTTGGCTTCCCCAGTTCCGCGTCACATTGAAGGGTGGCGGTGGCGCTGGCGATGGGGTTCCTACGGCCTCCTGCCTTGCGCAAGCAGAACTGGGCGCAGGCACTACAGGCACCCGTGGGGGCGAGGACGCCTAGAGGTGACAGGTGTGGACGCAGAGCCGGGGCGAACCCGCCGCTGCTCCCGCCCCTGCACGAGGGGCAGTGGTCCTGCTTCTGGGAGGGCGGTTGAACTGTGCGTGGTTTGTTTCTGGCGGGCGTCGGGGGAGATGGAGCGGGATGTGCTGTGATTCGGTGCGCTCAGGCTCCCTCTGTCCCCTAACCCAGACGCCGCGATGCCCGGCCCTTGGTTGCTGCTCGCTCTGGCTTTGACCCTGAACCTGACCGGTGTCCCCGGCGGCCGTGCTCAGCCAGAGGCGGCCCAGCAGGAGGCAGTGACGGCCGCGGAGCATCCGGGCCTGGATGACTTCCTGCGCCAGGTGGAGCGCCTCCTCTTCCTCCGGGAAAACATCCAGCGGCTGCAAGGGGACCAGGGTGAGCACTCCGGTGAGTGGATGGGGCTGTTGGGGGCTGTGGGGCTAGGCTATTGGGAGAGCCGTGGAAACCTGCCGGCAAAGGGGAGGGGAGGCTTGGTCAGCTAGCCTTCTGCCTTTCGGAAGCTCAGAAACCCTCCCTGGCTGCGCCTAGGCGGGATCTGGAGTTGACCATTCCTCGGGGTCAGATTCCTCCCCTGTCTCAATGCTGGGAATATTTCACAGAGAGCAGGCCCTGGGTGGGGAAGCTTCTGTGTGCTAGGGAGAGAGTTTCTTTGTGTGTGACAGTTTGAATTACTACTGTCTAGGCACTTCTGTGCCAGACACTATTCCAAGCACTTCAAACACCTTATCACACTGTTTGATCTTCCTAACAACCTCTTAGTTAGGTACTGTTATTACGATTTTACACAGAAGAAAACTGAGGCTCCCAGAGATCAATTGAGTCGCTTATGGTCAGACAACTAGGGAGCGCCAGAGCTGGGATTGGAACCCAGAGGCAATGCCTTTGACTATTGTGTGAATGTGTGTATCTGTGAGGCCTGAGGGGCAGGTGCAAGACCATGCCTCTGAGTGGGAGCTGCAGGAAATGTACCCTGCCTGGGAGAAAAGCAGGAGTGGGCACTCAGGCGCCTGCCTATTACATGGGTCAGGGGCCCCTCACTGACCTCTTTCCTTCCCCAGCGTCCCAGATCTTTCAATCTGACTGGCTCTCCAAACGTCAGCATCCAGGCAAAAGAGAGGAGGAGGAGGAAGAGGGAGTTGAAGAAGAGGAAGAGGAAGAAGGGGGGGCTGTGGGACCCCACAAACGGCAGCACCCTGGCCGACGAGAAGATGAGGCTTCATGGTCAGTCGATGTAACCCAGCACAAGCGGCAGCATCCTGGCCGGCGCTCCCCCTGGCTTGCATATGCTGTCCCGAAGCGGCAGCACCCAGGCAGAAGGCTGGCAGATCCCAAGGCTCAAAGGAGCTGGGAAGAAGAGGAGGAGGAGGAAGAGAGAGAGGAAGACCTGATGCCTGAAAAACGCCAGCATCCGGGCAAGAGGGCCCTGGGAGGCCCCTGTGGGCCCCAGGGAGCCTATGGTCAAGCGGGCCTTCTGCTGGGGCTCCTGGATGACCTGAGTAGGAGCCAGGGAGCTGAGGAAAAGCGGCAGCACCCTGGTCGGCGGGCAGCCTGGGTCAGAGAGCCCCTGGAGGAGTGAACCCAGTTTTCCCTGAAGTCGAGTTTGTGGTCTAAGGATGTCTTGAGCCCTGTGTGCCCCACCATTCATGACCTCTGTATTCTCTAGTTAGATCCCTGACCATAAGCCTGAGCCCCTCCCTCCCAGCCCCATATTCACACACATCCCAGCCCCTGGCCTTGCCCTCTTCCTTTAGGCATGTGAGAAAATCAGCCTAGCAGTTTAAACCCCACTTTCCTCCACTTAGCACCATAGGCAAGGGGGCAGATCCCAGAGCCCCTCTCACCCCCCCCACCACAGGCCTGCTCCTTCCTTAGCCTTGGCTAAGATGGTCCTTCTGTGTCTTGCAAAGACTCCCCAAGTGGGACAGGGAGCCCCTGGGAGGGCAGCCAGTGAGGGTGGGGTGGGACTGAAGCGTTGTGTGCAAATCCAGCTTCCATCCCCTCCCCAACCTGGCAGGATTCTCCATGTGTAAACTTCACCCCCAGGACCCAGGATCTTCTCCTTTCTGGGCATCCCTTTGTGGGTGGGCAGAGCCCTGACCCACAGCTGTGTTACTGCTTGGAGAAGCATATGTAGGGGCATACCCTGTGGTGTTGTGCTGTGTCTGGCTGTGGGATAAATGTGTGTGGGAATATTGAAACATCGCCTAGGAATTGTGGTTTGTATATAACCCTCTAAGCCCCTATCCCTTGTCGATGACAGTCATCCTAATGATAATAAAACCTGCATCCAGATAATCACGGAGCTCTGTGGTTGCTGTTCTGTCGCAGCTGGCATGGGATTCTTCTTTCGCATTGAGAGGGATATTTAAAAGGGGATGGGACTAGAGTTCTCAGCTCTGCTGCAGAGGGAATCAGGGACCCTGGGAGGATGACAAGTCCTCTCTACTGTCCCCATTTCAGAACACACTTGGGAGGTGGATGGGGTTCTGGAGCCCATTTGACTCCTGGGGAGACTAAGGCCTGGAGAGAAGGAAGGGCTTGCCCAAAGACACACAGCTGGCTGAGGTGGAGCCATGGGTCTGAGAGGCCAGCTCAGGGATTTGCCTTGAGTTTGCCTGATTTGGGAGGCGGGGGTGGTGGTGAGAGGGGAGGTTTGAGGGGAGGACTAGTCTGGCTCAGGTCTGTAATCTTCATGGTTCTGTTGACAGCTTGTGTCACCAAACAGCCTGTTAATGAACAGGAACAAGGAGGGCAGAGGACCAGGCTGCAGTCAGGAGACACAAACCAGGGGTCTTCTGGGGCTCGGTGCAGGACAGGAGGGAGTGGTGTGAACTAGAGTTAACTGAAGAAGTCATGTGAAGACATTTGAATTCAAAAACTTTAAGAAATGTCATGTGACTCTAATAATAATAACACAAATACACAACACTTTATGTGTCAGACACTGTCCTCAGCACTTTCCGTATATTAATTATTCTAATCCTTGACAGTGCTTCCAGATATTAATATGCCCATTTTACTAATGAGGAAGCCAGGGTACAGCAAAGTTAAGTAACTTGTCTGAGTTGAATTTGGCCCACTCATGGCCAGTTTGCAACCTCTGACTGAAACTAAACCCCCACATCTCCTTAGTCTTAGACTTTGAGTTAGTTAGATGATCCTCTGTTTGGTGGATGGATGGACTTTTCAACTTTGCTACGAACAGCTTTTGGTCACCTTTTGGGGCAGAGGGAGGCAGGAGCAAGAAGGGCGTCCAAGACCCAGCTCCTCTTCCTTTGGAGCTCATGGTTCAGGTGGGGTGGGGAATGGGGAGACTGGAAAATCTAGGGTTGACAAGATGCATTCACACCATTTTCCCCATAATGCTCTTAAAAGCCCTCTGACGTACTGAGCATTTGATGTATGAGAAACCAACACCTCCTCCTTTTCAGATGAGGGAACCAACACAGAGACAAGAGTCCTGCCCCAAGGTCAAGCATGTAGATCGGGCCTTCCCCCTGGGCTTGACTCTCCACACCCCTCAGCTGCCTTCTGGAAGCCTTTAACCACCTCACTGTCACCATCAGGGCAAGTGGGCCCTGGCAAGATTCCCTCTGACCATAGACCGCCTCTGAAGGCAGGCCCTCTAAAGAGAATAGAGGCCGCTCATGGAGTGCTCTCTGGGTGCTCAGTGTTCACACACGCTTTCTCACTGGCTCCTTGTGACTGCCCCGGAGGCCAGGCTGCCATGTCAATTTGCAGTTGAGGAAAGCTGAGTTGCAGCTGAGTGTGGAGAAATTAAGCCCAGGGATACATCCCACCCTCTCCTGCTGTCAAACTTCATTGATTTGTGAGGTGTGGACTCTTCCTCAGAAATGAGACCGTTTGAAGAGTAAGAAGCCCGCTCCCTCCAGCTCTTTAATGTTTTCCCCTTTGCCCCTATGAACGATCATACCCGTGCACTATAATAAAAAGGGTTTGGGCTTTTGCCACAGCCTGGACAAATGCTTTAGACAGTTTGAGTCTCAGTCTTCTCATCTGTAATATGGGCACAATAATCTTGGCAGTCCCATTCCCCTCAGGATTGTTTTAAGATTAACTGAGATCAAATGTATGTGTACAGCTCCTGGCATGGTGCTAGGCACTGAGTTGATTCTTGATAAAAGGCATTTTTAGTTCTAGTGCTCCAGGATAGAAGAGACTTAAAACTGAAATTTGGAGACCAACTGTTCCTCCCTTGTTTCATTCTCCAATCACAAAAGCGAACAAAAACAAAACAAAAAGTTGATGGGGCTTTATTACAAGTCCATGCGAGGCATTAGGGCAAAATGGTGTGCTTGCTGCTCTCCAAACGCCCCTCTCCTCCTCCTCGCCCTTCTCCCCAACACACACACGGCCTCTGCTCTGCCCAGGATGCTGTGCCTGTGATGCTCTCTGTACACTTCTACATTTCCCAGCCTCCCTTGCAGTTGGGGTGGAGTCAAGTGACTAGTCCTGGCCAGTGGGCTGTGAGCAGTAGATGACACTTTCCAGTTTAGGCAGTTAGAGCCAGTGTGCCTCATTCATCTTTTTCTTGCTGTCATGGTGGATGAAAACCCACATGTAGAGATGGCAGAGCACATGATGGATGGATTCTGAGCCCTGGCTTCACTAGATGGAAGTTAGGCACTACTCACGACATCAGACTTTTCATGTGCAAGAAACAAACATGTGTGTGTTAAGTCACAGAGATTTCAATTCTGATAAACACAGATGCCCACTCCATTCTCTTCTCACGGAAATCTTTCCCATCTTTTCCTTCTCACATGTGTCTGCTTTCATCAATGCTGCCTAGATCAGGGCATGGCATGAAGTAGGTGCTCAACAAATATTTGCTGAATAGATGTTGAAAGCTGCAGGTCACTTCTATCTTAGTCCCCCAGCCTGACTTCCAGGGGGTCCCTACCCTTGAGGGGCTTCCATCCAGTGGGGAAACCGACAGGCAAACAGATGATGACAACTTAGTGTGAGGAGTGTGGGGTGTCAACTGAAGAACCATGAGGTTCACAAATTTGGAAAGGAGATTTTTATTTCTTATAAAGGGTTGCAACCTGCAGGAGGCCATTCTGACAGTCTGGGAAGGGCAGCTTCCGGCCAGAAGCCAGAAACACTTCGAGGGAGGGGAAAAGGGAACTGGAATTTATGCCGAGATAGTTAACAGGTTATAGGAGGAGCTGTGATTATTCATGAAGGGGAGGCCTGGACATAGTAGTAGGCTAACACGCATGCAACATACATCTCATGTTCACTTTGGGGTGGAGACAACAGTTAAATGTATTACAGTTAGGCCCTATACATCAAAAGGTGATGCTGAGGACACAAAGGCCTTCTGTGCCCAGCCTTTGTATACTGGCCAGAACCACTCTGTGGTTGGTGGTCTTCTATCAGGAAGGACTGCTTGTCAGTGGCTGTGTCAAAACCACAGAAATGGAGGGGCAGCATTGGGCAGTTGGTTGATGTCAGCATTGGAACGAGTCTTTCAAAAGGGCTGGTCTCTGCTTAACCCTTAGGGAAGAAAGGCTAGTGGTAGTTATGGAGGGAGGGGATGTAACAGGGCAGTCTGACCTCCCATTAGGAAGTCAGTTTTTAAGGTTACCCTGGGGTCTCCTTAACAGAGAGAGTCCATTCAGTCAATTTTGGGGCTTAAGATTTTTTTTTAATTTTCCATGGGGAATAAAGGATGCAAGAAGAACAGAGATGAGAGAGCAACTTGGTCTGGTTGAGGAAAGAAGGCTTCCTGAAAGAGGTAACATCCAAGTAAGTGATAAATAAGAGAAAAAAACATTTAAGGCAGAAGAAAGAAGATCAGCAAAGGGCTTGGTGGGAGACATAACGAATTCTTGGAGTTGCTAACATCTGAAATCTTCTACCCTATCTCCTAGCTCTAAGGGGGCGAGCCGTGTTCCCCATGCTTCCTGGTTCAGGCCATGCTCCACACTGGGACTCCGATTCCCACAGCTTAGAAGCGCGAGAGCAGTGCGGATTGGGGTGGAATGAAGGAAGCCTCCCTGGGGGAAGGGTATTTGAGTTGAGCTTTGAAGGATAAAAGAAAAATAATTTTTTCTTTCTGAACCCTTACTCTGGGGCCAGACATTGGAAAAAACACTTTCGCATCCACTCCCCAGCATACAGTGGGTGATCTGTAAATATATGTTGAATGAATAAATTACTCATCATAGTCATTTCCAGTGTAGAGAAAAGGAAAAAGAGAAATGAGGTGACTTTTCTAAGTTCATTAGCCTGAAACCTTGGAGTTGTCTCTATACCCTCCTTCCCTTATTACCCACATTCAATTCTTTCTATGTCCTGTAGATTACACCTCCTAAACATGTCTCAAGTCCACCTACTTCCTTCCAACTCTTCAGCTACCATCCCGGCCACCATCACCCCTCATCGTGAGATTGCAGAGCCCCCCCTTGCTGGTCTCTGGCTTCTACTCTGGTCTCCCAAACCTACTCTCCACACAGGAGCCAGAGGGACCTTTCTGAAGTACAAATCTGATCACAGCACCCAGCGTGCTTGGAGCCCACCAGTGGCTTCCATTTCACCTAGGAGAAAAATCCAACCTCCTGACCATAGCCAAGTGGCCTGCTCAATTTGCCTCCTTTTTGTTTCCTGAACATGCCTCAGGGTCTTTGTGCTGTTATTCCCTCTTTTCTCCTCATTATTTCTGCTTTACCTCCTAGTGTGTCTTCCTGTACTGTGGAGGTTGGAAAGCAGAAACTACATTTGTAGCTCCCGTGCAGCTAGATTTTTTTTTTTTTTGGATGCACAGTAAGTTCTCCACGTGGATGCTGTCATGTGAGATTTAGAAGGCTCTTTGACGATTCGTGCTGGAAAGCAAGATGATGGTGACGGGTGGTGTTTCTGCGGTAGTTTCCCAGTGTCCAACCCCCAGCTTTGGGGTTTCTAGGGTCCTCAATGGCAGCTTCCCGTCCAGTTTCACAGCTACAGGGTGTGTTCTTTTTTTCTTTTTAAACAACTTTGTTGGGCTACATATGCATACACACACACGTGCACACACACACACGTGCACACACACACACACTAACAGCTTTACTGAGATATGTGACATACTGTACAATTCGCCCATCTAAAGTGTACAATTCAATCATTTTTAGTAAATTCTCAGATTGTGCAACCATCACTACAATCAATTTGAAAATATTTTATTCACCCCCAAAAGAAACCCTGTACACTTTAGCTATCTCTCCCCCAATCTTCCCACGTCCTCCCTCAGCCCGACAACTAGTCGATTTTCTTTCTCTATGAATTTGCTTGTTGTGTACATTTCATAAAAATTGAATTATATAATATATGACCTTTGTGTCTGGTTTCACTTAGTATAATTTTTGTTTTGTTTTTTGAGACGGAGTCTTGCTCTGTCGCCCAGGCTGGAGTGCAGTGGTGCAATCTTGGCTCACTGCAACCTCCGCCTCCCAGGCTCAAACGATTCTCCTGCCTCAGCCTCCCGGGCAGCTGTGATTATAGGCACGTGCCACCACGCCCGGCTAAGTTTTGTATTTTTAGTAGAGGTAGGGTTTCACCATGTTGGTCAGGCTGGTCTCGAACTCCTAACCTTGTGATCTGCCCGCCTCAGCCTCCCAAAGTGCTGGGATTACAGGTGTGAGCCACCGCACCTGGCCTAGTGATTTCTTTAGTAATCTTACCAAGGGGTACCATAAATGAGTTTTAGAATATTAATAATCCTGATGGTGGCCTCCAGATTTCTCACCTTCCTGATTGGAAACAGAGAAAACAGCGTTCTGCAAGCCTACTCTCTAAGCCCGGCAACAATTTTATAAGCACCTAATTCCAGAGCAATATTCAAAACATTCATCAGCCGGTCCAAGACAGGCATTAGCCAATCAGTACATGTGCCCCAGCTGGATGGACAGATTCTGGCTTGACATACCTGTGAAGCCATAGCAGCAGTGCAAGGAGCTGACAGCCAGCCCTGCTGGGTCAACCCTTCCTGCCTCCTGTTAATGTTCCTAAAACGGTTTCTGTTTGCTGTGCTGCATCCTGACGATCTACATTAGATAATGCCTATGCTTCCTTAGCTGTCATTTCAGACAACACCTTGTCAGAATGCGGCCCGGCATCCCTCTCCTTGCTTGCAGCTATCACAGTTTGTAATTACATCTGTCTCAGGCTGAGTTTCCCAGCACCACACTCTGAGACAAAGATTTGAGTGTCAGTAGTTTACTTGGAGAGTGAGCCCAGGTCTGGGAGCGAGGGAGTGATTCAGGGACGGGAAGGGCATGATGTGGAGTGCATTCGCGAGCCAGTTATTGCTGTGGGCAGCTGGGGCTCCATCCTGTTAGGGGTCCTTGGGAGATTGTAGAACAGGCCTCAGAGCTATCCCACTTGATTAGATAAGGAAGCTGGATATTTTTGTCTTCCAGTTCCCATGGATGGGGGTTGAGAGGTTCAAAATTCCAGCTTGCCCTCTGTGCCAACCTCGAGAATGCCCTTAGGTGAAGAATCTCAGGATACCATTGGCATTCACCTCAAAGGTGAGAGCTGAGGGGTTGAGTGAGGTTCCCACAGCATCTGCTGCAGGCTTCAACAGCGTCTGTTGCAGTCTTCTTGGGTGGCATTTCATCAATGGCTCCTCCCTCATCAAACTCTAGGCTCCACATACTCCTGCAGGACCAGCACCTGGGACAGCGCCTGGCACAGAGCAAGTGCTCAGTAAACATCTGCCAAATGCAAAGGAAGGCTGCATGAATGAAGGTAGAGCTGGGATTTGAGACCAGGCTTGCCAGATTCTAGGGCCCTAGAGGGAGATGGTGGGGCAAACCAAATACTGTGGGGTGCTGTGCAGTTAGTATAACCTGGGAAGCCAGCTCCAAGGATGGCTGCCAAGCTGAGAGCTCATGTGCAACCCAATGTAACATCTGTCCAAGTACCCTACCTTTTAAAACACCTTGGAAGACATCAAATGGCCCTCCACTGGCTGTCAGTTTCTCACTCTGCACTGTGTCACTAAGAAGCCACCATGTGCTAGGCCCTGCACGAGGAAATTCCAGCACCATTAATAAATACCCTCAGTTTATGGCGAGAAAGGCCTGGCTCAGCAAGGTGAAGTGATGTGCCCGAGGCTCACCAGAACTGTGCCTGGTTCTGGAAGGCTCCAAGTCCACTGGTCTTTCATCTACACCTGCTGTGCCTCACCTGGGCAGCTTTGATAGCTGGGGAACATTTCTTCAAGGAGCCGCCTCTCACATTCAGGGAAGGTGCCTGTCCTGCTTTGCTGTGAAACACCTCAATGTCATGACTTCCTCTGATATGTTCTTTAATTAATTATTTCTGCAAACCTAAGTTTGATTAATTGGATGCAATCACAGGACTGGTTTGATGAGAGACTCAGTTCCTGCTTGGGGCCTCTCGGGTGGCATGAGAACATGTGGGGCTTCTTACCTGAAGGATGTCGGCAATTAGAGCCCATTTTGACTGCCGGGGTATGAGCCGACTGCCTCAGAGAACATCAATTAGCTCAGTGGCTAAATTGTGCTGAGAGTTATCGGTTACCAAGGGGACCCGTGGTCAATGCCAGGATTTAAGTGGCTCTTGTCTTCGGGGATCATCTTTCCTGAATCGCGGCCACGTTCTGGGCCTGGTAATTATCAGCAGGCTGATTAGGCCTCGTCCATTATAGAGAGTGACTTCCTAATCGCCAGCTGCTGGGGAGGAAAATGTCTCAGCTCCGACGCAGGTACACCCCATCCGACATGCCAGAGGCTGGCACGCACACACTGCAAGGCTGCTTTGGGCTGTGGCCAAAGAGATGGCACAAGGCACACACTGGGCTTAGCTGGGTTTCCCTTGAAGAAGCTCAAGGTCTCAGGGCAGCCCTGGAGATCATGGAACCCAGGCCATTCCTGGCAGGTTAAAGATGATCTCTGAGGGGATGGATGCCTGCCCTGGGAAGAAAAGGGAGCCCCTACTAGTGCCAGGCACAGAGCCAATGATTCTAACAGTCAGTACTTATTGAGCACTTAGTATGTGCCAAGCATTGCTCTCGCCTCGCCACAGAAAACAAGTCATTTGACCCTCTCTAGGGGGAAACTGAGGCACAGGGTGTTTAGGTGACTTGCCCACACATCTGAAATTTAAATCCAGTCAGTCTGCTTCCGAATTGAACAGCTACAGGTGAACAGCATGTTGGCTCTCGTGCTTGATGTATCGCAGCCGTTCTTGAAGTTGTCCCATTATCCTTTCAGGGAATCTTTGCGGTCTTCACTTTCCCAACTACATGTCTGTGTGAGGCCAGGTTTTCTTCATATACTTCAACCAAAAAAACAGACTAAATGCGAAGCAGATAAGGGAAGCCAGAACCTATTAAGTCAGATATTTTTTTAAATATGCAAGAATGTAAAGCAATGCCACTCTTCTCATTAAATTGTCTTTTCATTTTGGAAAATAGCTTATTTTTCATAAAAATATGTTATTTATGTTAATAGATAATTAGATAATGCATTAGATAGTGGATTTATTATTGCTATTTCAAAATTAGTAAATAAGCATTTTTAAAGCTCTCGTTTTAATTCGTAGTATGGGAAATATCAGTAGATATAATCCACAGAATACAAAGTTCCCTGGGGTCCTCAATAATATTTAAGAGCATAAAGAAGTTTTGAGACCAAAAGATTGTGAACCACTGATATATTCAGCATATTATATATCAGCAGTTGATAATTAATGCCCTCCCTCAGGGATGAGTGAGTTATCATTCTGTGAGTCTTGTTTTTGTTTTTTTTGAGACTGAGCTTTTGTTTTTGTCGCCCAGGCTGGAGTGCAATGGCACGATCTCGGCTCACTGCAACCTCAGTTTCCCAGGTTCAAGTGATTCTCCAGCCTCAGCCTCCTGATTAACTGGAATTACAGGCCTGTGCCACCACACCCGGCTAATTTTGTATTTTTAGTAGAAACAGGTTTCACCATGTTGGCCAGGGTCCCACAGACTCCTGATCTCAGATGTTCCACCCGCCTTGGCCTCCCAAATTGTTGGGATTACAGGTATGAGCCACCACAGCCAGCCTGTGAGTTCTTTTGAAAGCTGGTTGTTAAAAAGAGCCTGGCACCTCCCCGCACCCGCTGTCTGAATCTCTCTCTCTCGCTGTCTCTCTGGCCATGTGATTGCTGCACACACAGGCTCCCCTTCACCTTCCACCATGAGAGGAAGCAGCCTGAGGCCTTCACCAGATGCAGATGCCTAGTTTGAATTTTCCAGCCATCAGAATCATGAGCCAAATAAACCTTTTTCCTTTATAAATTACCCAGCCTCAGTTATCGCTTTATAGCAACACTAAATAAGAAGAGCTAATACTTGGCATTTATCTGTGCTAGGCATTGTCCTAAGTATATGATGTATTTTGACTTATTTATTATTTGTTTGTTTTTGTTTTTGAGAAGAGTCTCACTCTGTTGCCCAGGCTGGAGTACAGTGGTGCGATCTTGGCTCATTGCATCCTCCACCTCCCAGGTTCAAGCGATCCTCCTGCCGCACACCACCACGTCTGATTGATCTTTGTATTTTTTGTAGAGACAGGGTTTTGCCATGTTGCCCAGGGTGGTCTTGAACTCCTCACCTGAAGTGATCTGCCCACCTCAACCTCCCAAAGTGCTGGGATTACAGGCGTGAGCCACCACGCCTAGCCTGTTTTGACTTATTTAATCTTCACATCCAGGAAGTAACACTTACAATTATCCCCATGAGGCAACTGAGGCACAGTTTCCTTGGGCTTAAGTCTTGTGCTGGGCTGGGACATGACAGAGCCCCAATGTGAACCCAGGCCTGCAGGCTCCAGAGTCTGGGCCTTTACACACCTCTACACCACATCCTCAGGCAGCATTGCTTACACTTATGGAGAGCACTTGGACCGAGCTAAGGATTTGCCTGTTTTAATTGTATCATCCTAAGTTGCCCATGGTAAGGAAATTTCTGCACAGAGAGATGCATACTTTGTCTGAAGTCACACAGCCAGGAACCAGGTGCGGGGATCCTTAATTCTGAGCTCTGAGCCAGATCCAGATCTGACCAATCACCCCACCTCCCACCTCCTCAACCACAGCCACAGTGATTGGCTCAAGGGTGGGTGAAGCCAAGTCAGAATGAGAGTCAACTCCCGGGCCTTTACTGGAATATTTGGTGAGAGGCCCTCTATTTCCCCTCAGTTACTAAACTGATGAGATTTACCCTTGCTCCGCTAGAGGCTGTCTTACCAGTGCAAAGAAGAAACCCATTCATTGAGAATGAAGACAACCAAGAGAAGACAGTCAAGAGATGGAGAGAGACTGACATCTGCTGATTTTATTTGAGCACCTGGGTCCATCCACGCCTAATACCCTTGGCCTTTTCAGTTACATGAGCCAATAAATCTCATTTTTACTTAAGTCATTTGCGTTTTTTTCAAATATAACAAAACGAGTTCTGACCGATACAATCTATAAACATCAAACTAATTTTAGCATGTTTCTGAGAGAGGAGTGCTTCTTCCTTTCTCTCACCCATACCGCCTGCCGACCACCTCCCTGGCCCCTACCCAGGTGAGAGAGCTATGCTGGGGAGGGCTCCAGTCACTGTCTAGTATAGTTTCCCTGCCACTTATTTCTCCAAAACCATGATAGCTCTTGTCAATAACAAACATTTATTAAGACCCTGCTGTGTGCAGGGCACTATTCTACTCCTGGCTTATTGCTTGGTGCCCTCAGCTGCTGACTGGCTTGGCTTTGGGGATGTCTTCCATTTGCCCTCCAGACCCATTCTCAGCCCTGCCTGTGTCTGGGCGGTGGATCTCTATGGACTGCCCCATGCGGGTTCCCTCTCCTTCAGATTCTGGTATGGTTCAGATCAAACGGAGAGAGGAGAGGAAAGAGGCATGTCCACTCCCCTCCCTGCCTGCTGCAGTTTCACTCCATTCTTCCTCCTACAGCCACAGCTCCTGCGGGCAGCCCTCCCTGACGGCTCCAGCTCTCTCGGGGTTCCGGCAACACCACCCCTCCCTTGCCCCACCCGGCCTCAGGGTGCTCGTTTCTCCCCACTGTGTCTCCGGCTCTTCTCCTGACCCTGTCCATCTCATCACTGAGCTGTCCTCAGATGCCCCCTTTCAGTGGGGGTTTCCTGCCAGGGTCCCAGTGGACACAGCCTTAGTAGAAGACATAAAATAGTAATACAGTGAAGACAGGACACTCTGGCTTATAGAATCATGGGAGGCTTTTTTTGTTTTTTGAGATAAAGTCTCACTCTCTCGCCCAGGCTGGAGTGCAGTGGCACTCCACTGCACGGCATGGCTCACTGCGGCCTTGACCTTCTCAGGCTCAGGTGATCCTCCCACCTCAGTCTCCTGACAGCTGGGACTATAGGTGTGCATCACCACATCCAGCTAATTTTTGCTTTTGTTTTTATAGAGACAGGTTTTTGCCATGTTGCTCAGGCTGGTCTTGAACTTCTGGGCTCAAGCAATCCTCCCGCCTCGGCCTTCTAAAGTGCTAGGATTACAGGCATGAGCCACCATGCCCGGCCCTTATGGGAGACTTTAATAGCCTCCTTATGCCCATTAACACCAAGGGTAAATATTATTATTGTTATTATAACAGTGAGATCTTCTGAGCATTCACTATGTCCTGGGCACTGAACTAAGAACCTTATTTATGTTATCACATTTGATACCCACAATGACTTTCACAGGTAAATATTGCTATTATTCTCATTTTCCCGATTACGATACTGACTTTCAGAGAAGGGAAGCTGCTTGCCTAGGATCATACAGCTAGTGAATTGCTAAGTGCTATAGTTTGGATGTCTGTCCCTCCAAACCTCATGTTGAAATTTGATCTTCAATGTTTGGGTCATGGGGACAGATTCAGCCATGAACAGATTAATGCCTTCCCTCAGGGGTGAGTGAGTTCTCGCTCTGTGAGTTCTTTTGAGAGCTGGTTGTTAAAAAGAGCCCAGCACTCTGTGCTCGCTCGCTCTGTCTTTGTCTCTCTCTCTCTCTCCCTTTAGCTCTCTCTCGCTCTCGCTGTCGTTTTCTCTCTGGCCATGTGATCTCTGCACACACAGGCTCCCCTTCACCTTCCACCATGAGAGGGAGCAGCCTGAGGCTCTTACCAGATGCAGATGCCCAGTTTGAACTTTCTAGACATCAGAATCATGAGCCAAATAAACCATTTTCCTTTCTAAATTACCCAACCTCAGATACTGCTTTATAGCAACACTAAATGGACTAAGACACTAAGCCAAGATGGAAACCTAATTCTGTATGACCCCAAAAGCCAGGGTCATACAGGGAGGGGAGTGGAAATGCCCCGACTTTCCTCTCCTCTCTGATCTTCTAAACCACACCAGAATCTGAAGGAGAGGGAACCTGCATGGGGCAGTCCATAGAGATCTGCCGCCTGGACACATACAGGGCCAAAAATGGGTCTGGAGGGCAAATGGAGGACATCCCCAAAGCCAGGCCAGTCAGCAGCTGGAGTCTCTTAACTACCACCCTGTAGATTGTGTGGCAGAGTCCAGAATCAAATTTCGACTTGAGATTTCAATTCTGTCTCTGCCTTGCCCTTCTGACAACCTCCTCTGCTATCACTTGGCATTGCTGAGGTAGTATCCCTCCTACATAGCACCAGCTCCTGCACCTGGGTGAGCCTCTCCAACCCAAACACAGGATGACCTCTGGGAGAGAGAGGTCTCCTTCTCATGCCCCATTGTTCCTCTCAGGGCCCCAGCTGTTAACCAAGACCCAGGCAGAGGACCTGACTCGCCTTCTCACTGAGGCTCATCCTGAGAGACTGATGGTTTAATATTAACCCCAATAATAGGAATAGCTTACATTTATCAATTACCTGCAATGCCCTGTGCCCACACTAAGCACATCATATGCACTGTCTCATTTTATTCTCACATACAGCTTTGCAATGTAGGTACTACAGCTATCCCACTTGACAGATGAGGAAACTGAGGCTCAGAGACATTAAGTGGGTCAGGCAAAAACTCAAGATTCCAGTCATTTTGACTCCATGTGCTTAACTTTTAAGACATGCTACAACTGTGTCGACAGTTTCCTAATGAGTTACAGCCAAGGGAGCAGTTTCTAGAGGTACAGTCAGTAAGACTAGGCTGTTTCTCTTTGTGTGGCTCATGAAGTCTCCTGGTGGGTTCAAGGTCTTCTATATAAAGGACTCTGTGTGTGGGGAGGGTCAGATACTGGGGTTAATATCAGTGTTAATAACTCTCAAGCTCACTTTGAAAAACAGTCTGGATGCTTCTCTCTTCTCCGGAGCAAGCAGTTGTGCATCTCTGAAGAAGTGAATGTTGATGGGTCTAAAACAATCACAGAAATTCAATTTTTTTTTCTGGTATTCTGTTTAGGGGTGTTTGTGTCATTCAGTGATATATGATGGGATGTCAATGGGGGCTTTGGGAATAGGTTTCCTTGCTGATAAAACAGAGGCACCATGGCCAAAAAAAAATAAGTCCCCTTCTTCTGCTTATGTCATCATGGTTTTAAGTGATGACTGGCACTTTGGCAGCTATTTTGTGACCATGAGGGCACAAGCCTGAGATGGAAGTCAACTGACAGGGAATGGCAGAGCAGAAAGATGGATACATATGAGTTCTTGACAATGTCACTGAGTCATACCACAAAGACTTCACCAACTCTGAGGCCGCCCCACTGTCTGGACATGCTGTTACACAGGATAATAAAATCGGCTAATTGTTTATACAACTGCTGGTTGGGGTTTCTGTTACTTGTGGCCAGAACAGCCTGATTGGCCGGGCACGGTGGCTTACACCTGTAATCCCAGCACTTTGGGAGGCTGAGGTGGGCAGATCACCTGAGGTCAGGAGTTCGAGACCAAGCTGGCCAACATGGTGAAAGCCCGTCTCTACTAAAAATACAAAAATTAGCCAGGTGTGGTGGCACACGTCTGTAGTCCCAGCTACTCAGGTGGCTGAGGCAGGAGAATTGATTGACCCTGGGACGTGGAGGCTGCACTCCAGCCTGGGTGACAGAGCAAGACTCCGTCTCAAAAAAAGAAAAAAAAAAAAAATCAGCCTGATTGCTACAGAATCTGACATTTTCAGCCTCGTCATTTGCTACTTTCCAGTTCTCATGCTCCCCACCATCTACTGTCACTCTCCTTAGCTTCTCACTGTCCCCAAACATATCATGCCCTCTCCTGCTCCCACATCTTTGCCCCCACCATTCTGCCTGCCAGGAATGCCCTTGCCCACCTATCCCTTAATAGCCAGCGACTCAATGACATTACTGTATCTGGGAAGTCCTTCCTGACACCCGTGGCTGGGATGGATGACCCTCCTCTGTGGTTCCAGCTCCTCCTTCACAGCACTGACCACCAAGGGACCTGTCTGTCCCCCACTGACCTGTGAGATCTTTCAGGAGGAAAAGAGGGAATTATGTCCCTGGCACTCAGGAAGGATGCTGCTCACGGCTTTCATGGGTTTATCATGTCCTGAAACAGTCTCCAAAGTTATGCCTGTCTATATGAATATGTGTGGCAGAGTGAGTTTGTTAAAAGTACAGGCTTTGGAGTTAAACAGACCTAGGTGTGAGTTCAACTAGCTAAGTCTGACTACTACACTAACGAGCTACAGCACCTCTAGGTGCTAACAACCTTTCTGTGTCTCAATCCACCTACCTGCAAAGTAGAGATGGTAAACCTGACTTACCAGGGCGTGATGAAGATTAGATAAGATATGTTAACTACTTAACTTTGTGCCTGGCACGTAGCAAATTATTCATACATGCCAGCTCTTGGGATTATTACTTTATTGGTTTGCATTTAATTTTTGTTGGGGGAAGAGTTTTGAGCTTTTGCCAAATTCTCCAATGGGTCTATGATCCAGGAAGGTCAAGAACCACTGGTTTGGAGAGTAAAAGGAGCCCCCAGTGGGTCTGCTGGCTGTGATGAGTACACTGCCATGAGTGCTCACATAGCGGCTTTGTGGCGTCCACTGGGGGGTACCGCGTAAGTGTTCCTCTGTGGGTCAGGGTGTGATCTTGCCCGTGATGAATTCCCCCTCCCAAGCCCCTGGGTCCCTGTGACCTCCAGGGCTCTCCAAATACCTCATTAGCACTGGCTGAGAGCACAGCTAGGAAGTGGGGCTGCTGTTGCCTCTGCAGAGAACATCCCTCATTACAGCAGAGAGAAGCAGCAGCTCTGACAGGGGCTGGGCAGGGGCAGGGCCCCTTTGTGTCTAGGCCTGATGACTCAGGGAACATTGCACTTCTGAGGACATCATTGTCAGCACAAAGCTGCGGCTCTGATGACAGAGCCCAGGCTCCTCTGGACTGGCACTGTCCTGCCTCCCCCAGCCCCCTTGATTGCTCAGCCCCCTTTCCTATGACTGCACCAGCGTTAAAGCTGCATCCGTAATAAACTGTCCTTTTACTCACTGGTCCTCCCAGTGGCCAAGAGAGGGTAGACTGTGATCCCTGTCAGAACCCTGAGGCCCCAATAGACTGGGCAGAGCCAGGTTTGGGATTCAGGTCCCCCTGCTCCAAGCTCTTGCGGAGTGGCGGGCAGAAGTGCACACTTAGTATCAGGCAAACCAGGGTGGGTCCTGGCCGTGCCACTCTCAAGCCATGGTGTTGGGCCAGCCGTTTCTATTTTCTGAGCTCCAGTTTCTTCATCTGTAGGAAGCAGATAAATAGTCACAACTGAACCCCCTCCTCCCCTGCCTTGCAGAGAAATCGTTCTAAAAGTCAAACCTGATTATGTCGCCCTCCTGCTCACAGCCCTCAGCAACACTCCCTGGCCCTCAGGATGAAGGTCAAGTTTCTCGGCCTGCCATTCAAGGCACTTTGTAATCTGGATGCTGCCCATTGCCCTGGCCACAGCCCCTACCGCACATTCCAACCAGTCACAAATCAAACCGCTTCTCTCCTCAGCCCACTCAATTCTGTTTCCTTTACCAGGAATTCTTTCTGCCTGTCTTTTAAAATCACCAGGAGAATCCCTGCTTCAAGCTCAATGCAGGTACTTCCTCCTCCAGGAAGCCTTCCGTGACCTCCTACTCCCTCTTTCCACATTGCCTCAGGTGCCTCCTCCTGGCTTCCACCTCCCAGAGCTGAGTGGACTTTGTGCTAGAATCCTGGCATTAGAAAGAGCCTTAAAAGTTCATTGAAAGCAGTGCATCTCCAAGTGTGGCCCAGCAACATCTGCAAACTTGTGAGAAACGTACATTCTTGGGTCCCACCCCCAGAACTACTGAATCAGAAACTCTGGGAGTGGGACACAGCAATCTGTGTTGTAACAAAGCCCTCCAGGGAATTCTGATGCCCAAATTTCAGAACCACTGGTCTAATGCGGTCTTTTGCAACCATGCTGGAGTTCTGCATTTGTGGTGCCCCCAAGAAATCGACTACCACATGGTCTGGGCTCCTGCATCTGCTACAGGAGAAAGAGGCCCCAGCTGGGCTATTGGTGCCCCTGTGTGCCCAGCCACCCTCCTTCCAGGGGCCTCTAGCTAACAGAGTTGTTACAGAGGAGAGTTCTCTCCATCACATCCCATTCTCCCCCTTCCTACAGACACATGGCCAATTTTAAATCGTAACTTTCTTTTATTGGCAAAGAAGAAATTTTGGCACCTGTTTCATATATTTCTCATCAGCTTCTCTTCATCCCAATCTTGCCAGGCTGGGGCCTGCTGTGCTTAAGAATCGAAATACTGGTCATCTGCCTTTTAAGGAAAATGCTGTAAATTTCATGGGGCTCATCTCAGACGCACCAAATGTTACCTGGAAAAATACATCTTTTCTCCTCTTCTCCTGCTCAGCAACCTGCCAGTGTGGTTCAGAGGGTTGTAGTTGTAAAGGTCTCAGTAGTTCAAATGGTTTCTGAACCAAGTTCTCTTTCCATTAGAAGAGTCCAGGTTCCCTCAATTCCCCTTTTGCCACTTTAGGAATTGCTAACCTGTCATACTTGGAAGTTCTTCTTGGTGTCTAATATAACTCTTTCTTGCTATTGCTGGCTCCAAACCAGCCTGTCACATATAGAGGAAAAGTATTTTTATCTCTGTTTTTCGGATCTGGAAACTAGCAAAGGACATGGCACACAGTAGGCACTCGATGTTAGTTTAGAAAATAAGTGAATGAATGAATGGGGAGATTAATAATAACAAGTGCTGCTGATGAAAATGAACATTTAGGCTGAGGTGAGGGAATGGTTTGAGCCCAGGAGGTCAAGGCTGCAGTGAGCTATGATCACGCCACTGCACTCCAGCCTGGGTGATAGAGCAAGACCCTGTATCTAAAAACTTTTTAAAAAAGTGAACATTTACTCTGAGGATTATGTTAAGTGTCTCAGATATGTTCAAACACCCAACAACCTTATGAGGTAGATACTATTTTATCCCTGTTTTACATAGGGGAAAACTGAAGCTCAGAGACATTAAGCAATTTGCCTAAGGACACACAGCAGTGTCATGACATAACTAGTAATTGAACCCAGCTGAACTAATTATATAATTGAAAGATCACTTCCTAGATTATCCCTTGAGTGTTAATTATCTGAGGGGCACAGCTGTCGTAGGAAGCCTCTATCTAGCTCCTGGAGGTTCAGTGTGAGTGAGGGCCAGGCAGAGACAAATGAGCCCCACACTTTTCCTTTGATGAAAAGCTCCTGAAGACAGCTGGAGAGGAGGAGGAGGAGGCGGACAGAAGCTGGGCACACCAGAGGAGACAGAGATGTGGCGTCAAAGGCAACAAGTGCTGACAGGTCTGTGAGTAAGAGGCCCCTTCTCTGTCACTGGGCTGGGGTTTCTATTAGAGCAAAGCTTCAAAACCAATGACAAGCCAGCAAAAGACAGTGCTAGCCTGCTCCTGCTGCCAAAACACGCATTTTCTTAACACCCCTCTTTCCTTCTTTTTTTAACCCTTAAGCTTATCATCATTTTTAATATTTTAAATTTACTCAGGTAATAAATACATTATCACCTTAAAACATATATAATATACAGATATGTAGAGCCAAAATTAGAGCTTCCTTGTATAACTCCCCACCTCCCAGCTCGAAGATGTTGCCACAGTTCACAGTTGAAGTTGGTTAGCCTGCTTTCTCTAGAAATGGGGCTCAGGGCAAGGATGAATGTGTGGCTGCTTCCTTTGGGTGGTGCAAGCCCAGATATGAGCCCAGGATGATCACAGGCCGAGAAAGGGAGCAGGGAAGCCATGGGAAGGGTGGTACCATGAGGCCATCACTCCACAATCACCCTCGTGGCTGCTCTGGAGGTACACCCACCTTACACAGAACACCTCCAGGAGGACTGCAAGGAGAAATCCAGTCTCAGATAGTCCAGAGAAAGATGGAAGGAGAGGGGGTTTATCTACCTGGATCCCTCCTGTCTCCTGGGTCTCATTAGTCAACCTTGGTTCTGTGGCCAATGAACGATAAATTCTTTTGTACTTCTGGCATCATTTGGTCATTTTGGGGGCTCTGAGGTCTTTCCATCCCACACCCTGTGGGGTGTGTTTCAAATACGGATGTAAGTCTTATTATTACTCAAGTACAGTGAGACCAACAGCTCAGGAGACGACTGCCACAGAAAAGAGTTTGTTACTCACAGGTCCCAAGAGGAGGGGGCATGCCATGCCAGGAAGAGCCACAAGGAGAGGCATGAGGGTCAATCAGGAGGCAGAGGGTGTGAGGGGCAAATGGGGCAAGATCCTTTACTTTAGTTTCCAGGTGAGGCAGGGTAAACAGGCTTAGGATTGGCTAGATTGAATAATTTCAGCAGGCTTTGGGGCATAGCGGCTGACCCTAGATGCTTGGTACCTGGCCCTGGAGTGATTAGGGCAGGAGAATAGTGGCCTGGAGTGAAAGAGCCCAGAGATAAAGGGGGTGGTGCGGGTGGGGGCTGTGCATTGATTAGTTTGCATGTTAAATGCACACTTACAGGCCAGTCCTTTACTATCTCTTGGCCATCCCTGGGAGGAGCAATCCCTCCAGGGTTACCAAGACCCCAGATGTCAAAGCATCAGAAACATAGAAGATAGAAAGGTATCATTAATACAGGGAAGAACCAGAAACTCTGGGCATGAGCTGGTGGATCTAGCTGCACTGTGGTGGCCAAGGGGGAGGGTCCTGCACACCCAGCAGGGACAATGTCCTCTGCCTATTGCGACTTCTTTGACCCAGCTCCTCCTACTCTCCCCTCATTCACACCATCCTCCTTAGCCTCCTTGCTGTTTCTGGAACATGCCAGGCAACAGGGACCAGGGCTGTAACTTTCCAGATCATTTTCTCTACATTTGTACACAGCCACATGCACATATATTTGCACACTATTGTCTCAAGACTTTTCTGATACCACCGCACATCTTAGAGCTGTCCTCATGTCAGTCGTTAGATATTTCCCTTGTTCTTTTTAATCACTATAATGGTTGACGCATGGGTGCATCAAAAGTCACTTATGCACACCCCTATGGATGGATATTTAGGTTATTTTCAGCACTTCCTGATTATAAACAACGCCATCATAAGCAGTCTTGCTCCTGTCTTTGTATAGACATGCGAGTTTCTGTGGGATAGAACACCTACAAGCAAAATTGCTAGGACAATGGGCATGGGTAGTTAACATTTTCACAAATACTGCCAACTGCTCCATAGAAAGCCGCTCCCAATTTATACACCCACCCATAGTGAGTGAGGTTTCAGAGAACTCATTGCTCCACACCATTTCCAACAACAGCTATTTTCAGTGATTAATCTTTTTGAAATCAATCTATTTTTTCTTTTTCTTTTTCTTTTTAGAGGTGGAGTCTCACTCTGTCACCCAGGCTGGAGTGCAGTGGTGAGATCTCAGCTCACCGTAGCCTCCACCTCCTGGGTTCAAGCGATTCTCCTGCCTCAGCCTCCCGAGTAGCTGGGATTACAGGTGCACCCACCACGCCCGGCTAATTTTTTTTTTTTTGAGACGGAGTTTTGCTCTTGTTGCCCAGGCTGGAGTGTGATGGCGTGATCTTGGCTCACTGCAACCTCCACCTTTTGGGTTCTAATGATTCTCCTGCCTCAGCCTCTTGAGCAGCTGGGATTACAGGCATGCGCCACCATGCCCAGCTAATTTTGTATTTTTAGTAGAGACGAGGTTTCTCCATGTTGGTCAGGCTGGTCTTGAACTCCTGACCTCAGGTGATCCACCCACCTCGGCCTCCCAAAGTGCTGGGATTACAGGCATGAGCCACTGCACCTGGCCTTAATTTTTGTATTTTTAGTAAAGACAGGGTTTCACCATTGTTGGCCAGGCTGGTCACAAACTCCTGACCTCAAGTGATATAGCTTGCCTCAGCCTCCCAAAGTGCTGGGATTACAGGTGTGAGCCACCACGCCTGGCTGAAATGAAATCAACTTCCTTCCTTCCTTCTTCTTTCCTTCCTTCCCTCCCTCCTTTCTCCCTTTCTTTCTTTTCTTTTTCTTTCTTTCTTTCTTTTTCTTCCTTTCTTTCTTTCCTTCTCTTTCCTTTCTTTTTCTTTCTTTCTGACTTTCCTTCCTTCCTTCTTTCTCTTTCTTTCTGACTTTCCTTCCTTCTTTCTCTCTTTTTCTCTCTCTCTTTCTCTCTTTTTCTTTCTCCTTCCTTCTTTTCTTTCTTTCTTTTCCTTCTCTTGCTCTGTTGCCCAGGCTGGAGTGGCTGGCACGATCTTGGCTCAAGCCAATCTCAGGTTCAAGCCATTCTCCTGCCTCAGCCTCCCAAGTAGCTGGGACTACAGGCACGCACCACTATGCCTAACTATGAAATCAGCCTATTTCTGGTAGCCACTCTATTTGATTCCAAAAATGGCTTGAAGCAGTTTTTACTCAAAAAAAATACCTGAAGTTCCTCTTTTGCAAGGATCTGCCAACATAGGCCATGTCTGCCCTCAAACCATGAAGAAGGCATCCTGGTCATCACCAAGAAGTACTACATTCACCTGGGCAGCAACTTCCACACACACACACAAGCATGAGTGCAAGGAGATCACCATCATTCCTGGCAGGAAGCTCTGCAGCCAGACAGCAGGCTATGCTATGTACCCGATGAAGCAGATTCAAGAGGCCCAGGGAGAGCCAGCTCCATGAGTTTGCTGGAGGAGGGAGAAAGAAGAGAGAATTCTGTTTGTGAGGTCTCAGCCTGGGTGGAGAGATCACTGAAGCAGATCCTGACACTAAGGACATGCTGAAGCTTCTGGGCTTCAGCAGTCTATCCAACCTGCAGGTCACTCAGCCTGCAGTTGGGATGAATTTCAAAACGCCTCATGGAGCTGTTTGAATATTTCTATTCTGGCATAATTAAAATTTCCAATAAACCTGGGACAACAGGAAAAAAAAAAAAAGGAAGCAGTCTAGAATTGAGATTAAATCGTTTGGACTCTACAATCAGACTACTTGGGCTCAAATTACCTTCCTATGAAAGTGTATCTCATTTATCTCCATTTTATAGATGAGAAAACTGAGGCCCCTGGAGTTGTATTAATTTTCCAAGACCGCATTGCTCATAAAGGGTACAGCAGGGACCCAAGCTCAACACTCTCACCCTCAAACATTTCCACAAGTGTAGACCAATGGCTCTCAACTGGGGTGGTTTTGCTCACGTACCACTCCCTTGCCCCACAGCATTTGAAAGCATCTGGAGACATCTGGGGTAGCCATAGCTGGGAGGGTAGAATGGCACCTAGAGGATGGAGACCAGAGATGCTGCTAACCATCCTACAATACACAGGACGCCCCCCGCTCACCACCACCACGAATGGTCTGACCCCAAGTGTTGTGACTGTGCCAAAGCTGAGAAACCCAAGTTTCTCCTCAGCAAGAAGGGAAAATACCTGCAACGTGGATGCACCTCTACAGGAGCCCCAGGCTGACAATAACCTTCCTGATCTGGTTTCAACCCTGGATGCTTTTACCTGGTGCGTCCATCAGGGATTTCAGGGACTCCAAAGAGTTATTACCCTTGAATGCTCGGTTCCGCCTGACAACCCAGAAATCTCTGCCAAGGTGCCTGGTCTTGAGGAAGGCTCAGCAAGTGGTTGAGGTTGATAACCAAATACCTAGGAGAGACTTTTCTCTCCCTCCAGGAGGAGCTGTGGGTCAGACACACCCTGGGATCATTCACAAGCGGTCAATAAAGGTTTGGGGAGGGCCAGGTTTTCTAGGCCTTCTCAATGGGGTGGGTGTTTGTGGATACACAAGAAGCCTGTGAAACTTCTGATATTGGCAGGAAATCAATGCCCCCCACCCTCCACCCTCCACCCCCCCAACCTCCCCACCATAAACACATGCCCTGCAGCAGGACTTGGCACTCAGGGGCTCCTGGGGGCCCGATTTACCTGCTAAAACATCCTCTAGCCACCACCGAATAAAGCCACCCCTTGCCACCCAACCACAAGAGCACAGCCTGGGAGCCACTCCAAGGGACATCCAGTCACATTAAAACCTCAGCCATCCAGAGCACCAGGCCTGGTGATGAGAAAGAACATTTTATCCTTAAAAGCATCTGAATGCCCATGCTGCTTCTTGCAGAGAAAAGTCCAAAATAATCTGCTATTAAAGAACGAGGATGGTTTTGACATTTTTACCAAGCTAATGGTCTACGCAGACAAAATCTCATAAAAGGGCACTCTGTTCTTCTTGATCCACTCAGACATGGCCTGTGAGTGAAGAAACGGGCTCTCCTCCTCAAAGAAATCACTGCTGGTCCTCACACCAGCCTGACACTGCTTCTTGGGTTCTTCAAAGAGAGTATTCCCATAGAAACTAAAAGGGAAGAGGAATGGGTGTGGCGGGCATTGTGGGCAGCAGTGGGCTTTGGGACAAATTTTAAGTTTGAAAATCAAGATTCCCTCTTTTCGAGGGGCTGCCAGACTGAGCAGATACAGACACCGTGAAAAGAGGGTGCCACATTCAGATTCAGGAAACAAGGATGGTTTCTGTTCAGTTCCTGCATCATCCTTCAGGTCATGCGATTCCCATTTCCCTCGGTGGACCAAGAAATTCAGTGGGGTTTCTGCCTTTTAAATATTTCATTATCAATATGTCATCCTTTTAGCCTCCAGAAAGCATTTTAACATGGAGATTCTGGCTTAAAACACTTGTGGGTCTGTCTCTCTCTCTCTCTTTTCCTTGAAACAGGGTCTCACTTTGTCACCTACACTGGAGTGCAGTGGCATGATCCCAGCTCACTGCAGCCCGACCTTCTAGGCTCTAGCAATCCTCCCACCTCAGCCTCCAAAGTACTTGGGACTACAGGCACACACCACCATACCTGGCTTTCTTTTTTTTTTGGTAGATATGAGGCTTCACCACGTTGCCCAGGCTGGTCTTAAACTCCTGGGCTCAAGCGATCCTCCCCCTTCGGCCTCTCAAAGTGCTGGGATTATTGGCTTGAGCCACCACGCCCGGCCAAGAACCTTGTCTCTTGTGATGCACCCCAGAACAAAACATCACTGCAAAAACACACCAAGGCATGAGTTTCAGTCCTAAGTCCCATTTATCCACCATACACTATGTGCCAGGCACAACGCTAAGTGCTTCTATGGACAAGCTTCCCTTAATCTTAGCAGTAACAATCCCAGGCAATGGGGCCTGTTGACCGATCCATTTGCCACTGAAGACAGTAAGGCTGAGAGAGGGTAAGTGGCTTGTGCCATGTCAGCCAGCTAAGGAGGGGCAGAACCAGGATGCAAACCCCAGCCGCCTGGCTCCAGACTCGCGTTCCCAAGGTCCCACTACACTTGGTCACTCCACTGCATTCTGGTATCCTGGTCTTTGGCAGAGTCCACGTAAAAGAGGGAGGTAGAGGGAGTGAGAGGGACTTCACGCAATAAAGTGTCCCGGCGTTACACTGCCACCGTAATTGTGTCCCGACCAGGACCTCTCCCTTCTCATCCTTTCCGTGATCGGCCCTGGAAAACCTTCCAGAGAACTGTCCTCCTTCTCCCGGGATCTCAGAGAAAATTCACCTGAGTTCAGTGTCCAGGTGACCCAAGCTCTGAATGCAGTAAAGTGCAGGGGGAGATGAGGATGTCACCATGAGCAAGTCTCCCAGACAGCATTCGGGAGCAACCCCAAGACTGGGCAGGGGGGGCTCTGATGCAGCCCATGGCGAAGAGGGCTGCCTGTGCTGCTTAAATGGGTTCAGAATGAAGGCCGCCCTCTCTCCCATGTGGGGCTCATTCACCACGAATCAAATGATTAAGACAAGCTCAGCTGAGCAAATGGTCAAACATAAAAACATATGGAAGGAACAAAGAGGTCAACCGCATTATCCATCAAAAACCGTCAAGGTGGCGGCCCTCACTGAGGGGTACAGCTCTCCAGCGGGCCCTCATCTGCCCTCCAAACCCACGTGCCTCCCCAGTGGAAGGCCAGCAAAGCCACACAGGAAGAGTTGGGGTAGGAAAGCAGAAAGTGAACCCCAGGAGGCCAGGCTGGCCACGGAACCCCATCGCACACACACAGGCCCGGTGACTCAGGGGCCCACGTGTGCAGGACACCGGGAGCTCACAGGGACAGCGCCCCGGGGGATGCAAGGAACTTTCCCTCTCTGTCCCTCTCTGTAGGAATGGAAAGAGGAGAGCGATTTCTGGGATGGAAGCCATCTGCCTCCTCTCAACTCCCGCTGCCCAACCAGAAAGGGAAGAAAAACAGGAAGATGCGGGGCAGGTGAGGAGCTGGGTGAGCGCCGCCAGCCCGCAGCCCAGCAGAGCAGGGCTTGGCCAAGCCTGGCGCCAGGGACTTCCCCCCTACCCCCGCCACAAGCCCCTCGCCAGGTGAGAGGCACTGGCAGAGTCCCAGACAGATGCCCCAGACAGGATGCCCAGCGCAACCCCCGCCCCTTCCCCTGCTGGGGGCCCCCAGGACGCGGGGCTCCCCCTCCCCTTTTGGCTAGCCGCAGAGTCCAGCGGGTCTCCCGGCCAGGGACGTCGTGGGAGAATCAGGAAGTCGAAGCCACACAGCCGAGAAGGGGCAGCTGGCGTCTCGGAGGCCGTCACGAGCTGTCACTCCGCGCCCGCCGGAGTTGCCGCTCAGTTACCAACTTCAACCCGGGGCCGGCCACGGAGCCTCCCGCCGCCCCTACCCCGCGTCCCCGGCACCCCCGGACCCCCGCGTCCGCGTCACTTACTCCTCTGCCGTCGCCACCTGTCTGGGTGCCGGTCTCCTCCCTGCCCGGCCGCGGCGCGTCCTCCCCGTCCTCGCAGTCCTAGGGCTGTGCTCTTCCCCCCTCCAGCAACAGCCGCAGCCTCTTCTCCCCGGGAGGGACGTCGTCCTCCTCCCTCCTGGGCCGGCCATCCCTGCCTCGGGGCTTGCCAGTGGCTTCGGAGCTGCCGGAAGGGCTGGCCATGGCTCCGGGGGCTCTGCCTGCACTTGGGGAAGAGGAAGGACCCGGCGAGAGCGGCCTCTCGGCGGAGCTGGGGCGTCTGAGCGCGGGCTCGGTGGGTCCGCGCGGCGCGGAGCTGGGCATCGGGGCCGGCGCGGGCTCCTCCGCGGGCCGCTCCCGGCTCTCTGGCGCCCTCTGCTGGCCGCTCACGCGCACCGCGGACACGCCGGGCCGGGGCCTGCGCCGCCCTCACCTGCCCTGGCCTAGGCGGTCGCTGTCCCCTGCCCGTAGCCAGGCCCGCTCCGGCCAGGCCCTCCACCTCCACCCCGCCCCAGCCAGGTTGCACCCCGATGGTCTCCCTGCCCAAGGAGGAGAGAAGAGAAGGGACGCCCCGAGAGGGTGGACATCGGCCACAGCCACCTTGTCTTTGCTCTTACCCTGTGTCTTCCATGATTTGGAGGTGGTGGGAAAACCGAGGCTGCTCAAAACTCGTGGAGAATTCCGCCTGCAGGATGACATGAATGCACCTTCGCATTGCCTACCAACAGATCTTTTTTGAGCATCTCTGTGGACCGGGCGTGGTGATGGGGGAGGGGATATTGTGGTGGACATGACAGGCATTGCCTTCACCCAGTGGGGCTCGGCGCTGGGTGAGGAGGCATTGAGAACGGACATTGTCAATTGGGCAAAAGGAGGCCAAGGAGAAGTGCTGGGTGCATGGGAACTGAAAAAGACAGGAGGCTCAGCAGGTCTTGGAGCTGGGAGAGGGACAGCAGCAGCGGCTGTTCCAAAGGAAGCAACAGCTGAGAGACTTCTCAGAGAGTTGTTCTCAGCCCAGTGGAGCATGTTCGGGCAGAGGGAACAGCGTGTGCAAAAGCCCAGAGGCTGGGAAAGAAGCAGAAGGAGGACTGTGGGGCTGGAGCGTGGTGGGCGAGGGGAGAGAGGTGTGGTGGGCAGACAGATTGCCTGGGACCCAGCCGTGCAGGGACAGAGGAGATAGGGGATCCTTGCAGGCCCCCAGCCAGGGCTCAGGCACAGAGACAATGCAGGTGGGCAAAGAGAGGAGAGGTGGAGAAATATTTTGGAGGCATGCCCTGATGAATGAGCCCAGGATGCACCCTTAGTGTCAGTGTGGAGCTTCTTCTTTGGTTGTGTGATCAGCTGAACCCGGGGGTATTTTCTGGACACTGAGGTGCTACACCAAGAGTCCAGGACAGGCTAAGTGAGCACCAGCAGCTCCTGGCCTACCTCAAAAGCAGGAGAGACAGGGGAGACTGGGGAGCCCGGGGGAGAAGGGGAAGCGAGGAAGGCAGGAGAGGCCAGGGAAGCAGAGGAGGCCCGGGAGGCAGTGGAGGCAGGAGAGGCTGGGGAGGCTGTGTCCTTCCCATGATTCTGCCCAGGATCCTAGGCCCCTGTACTCCCTGAGCTTCCCCACCCCAAGCGCTGGAACCATGTTGCACAATGGTCTCTCCATTAAGCTCCTGATGGCAGCCCCTACCCTGCTGTGCTCCCTATTTCAACCCTAACAGCTCTCACAGTGGGCAGCACATAGAAGGTGCTCAGGAAACACTGGTGGGGGAGCACATGGGTCTGCTCAGCACCTTCCTCTCTCCTCCAGCTCTCCCCTGTCATGAAATAATTCTGATAACCACACATGGGCTTTGAGACCCTCTTCTATTACTTTCCATATGCTAATCCATCTATACCTCACAGCAGCCCTGGGGGTGGGTGCTATTAGGATGCCCATTTTACAGAGGAGGAGACTGAGGTATAAAGAGGGGAAGTGACATAGGCACACTACAGGGGCTGGGGCCAAGTGATCAGAGCACTCAATCCCCAAAGGCAAGGTGGACGCAGTTACCATAAAAGACAGCAGAGTCAAAGCTGCAACCAGAATAGCCTGACTCTCAGAGACCTATGGTGCCAGCTGATCGTGGCATTCCTAGAAGTGAAATAGAAAAGAAGCCTGCCACACTTTTACTGGATCTGTGTTTGCAGAAGAGTTCTAGGTCAGGTGAGTAGAAGTCTAATCTGAATCATAAAAACAGTCACAGTCCCCAGTCAATTCCCAGACATAAGCCAGTTCACAGACCCGAAGTCCCTTGTCTGAATGGGAAGCCAGGTCCCCTCCAGAAAGGACTCTGCTCCACTGCCAAAAATTTATACTGTCAATTTTTCTCCCAGCCTGCCCCTGAAGGAATACACAGCCTTTTACCAGGATGACTGAACAGGGGAAAAGGAACTAATGAGACCTGTGCAGGATCACTGGACACAGGCTCTGAACTGGCACTAGGGTGAGACTAGGGTCAACCAGTCAGAATAGGCATTTTGGAGGTCAGATGAATGTTGGTGCAAGTTCATGTCATGGTAGATCCATTGGGTCCCCAAATCCATCCTCTGGTTATATACAAAGCGGCAATGCTGAGATTCAAATTCAGGGCCTCCAACATAGAGGCTGGGCTCTTACTCATGAAACATTCTGACACTAGTAACCTATTTAAAAATGCAAACACCTCCTGGGGCTAGCCAGAGTCCTCCAAACAGTCACGTAAATTGGTTCTGTCAAGGATTTCCTCCTACGCCCTGCTGAGAGCCAGTTGCAAGGAGAGACTAGGGAAGGGCATTGGGTAACTTTGTTGCTAAAAGCTCTTTTGGATAAAGACGTTTGGGAAAAGAAGCAAATAGAGTTCAGCAGAAGAGGTAAGAAAGTAAGTTTATGTTTGGCCAGGCATGGTGGCTCACACCTGTAATCCCAGGACTTTGGGAGGCCGAGGTGGGCAGATCACGAGGTCAAGAGATTGGACCATCCTGGCCAACGTGGTGAAGCCTCATCTCTACTAAAAGTTCAAAAATTAGCTGGCCGTGATGGCACATGCCTGTAGTCCCAGCTACTCGGGAGCCTGAGGCAGGAGAATCACTTGAACCCAGGAGGCAGAGGTTGCAGTGGGCTGAGATCATGCCACTGCATTCCAACCCGGCGACAGAACAAGACTCCGTCTCATAAAACAAACCAAAACAAACAAACAAACAAAAAAGCAAGCTTATTTTTAAGCCTGAACAAGTGTAGTGGTTTAGGGGTTCTGCAAATACGGCTCTAATCAGGCTACAAGATGTTGTGGCAGCAACACTTACACCCAGTCACTCCTGGCTGGCTGAGCCACTTTTCAAAACACCCTTGCACAGCTGTGCAGAGCGGCTGGCTCCACTGGCAGCCGGCAGAGCCATAACTCACACTGTCACCACTCCCCTCAAACCCTTTCAGTAAGCACTTTATTTTTTTTTTTTTGAGATGGAGTCTTGCTCCGTCATCCAGGCTGGAGTGCGGTGGTGCAATCTCGGCTCACTGCAAGCTCCGCCTCCCAGGTTCATGCCGTTCTCCTGCCTCAGCCTCCCAAGTAGCTGGGACTACAGGTGCCCGCCACCATGCCCGGCTAATTTTTTGTATTTTTAGTAGAGACGGGGTTTCACCGTTTTAGCCAGGATGGTCTCAATTTCCTGACCTTGTGATCCGCCCACCTCGGCCTCCCAAAGTGCTGGGATTACAGGCTTGAGCCACCGCGCCTGGCCTGGTAAGCACTTTTAATCAATGCAACAGGAATAAACATTTGCTGCAGAGCGGCAATGTGCAGGGAGGAACATGGTTCCACTCAGGCTCAGAAAGCAAAACCTCCCGGCTGTTTGCATGTATGCGAGAGCTCGCAGAAAAAGCCCTCTGTGTGGCTGCCAGCCTCACACACTCCCCCCAAGGGGTGAGTTTCTCTTTCCATGTTAATCTATGCCCTGACGTGCCATCTGTCAACCACCACACAATTCTCAGTTGACATTTCAAAGCATCTTTCCCCTGTGAATGGTCACCAGCCCTACCCTGCAAGCCCCCAGGTGACATTGAACTTAAATGAGAGAGAAAACAGGTTTCGGGGTGGATTTCAGTTCAGCATCTTGGAGTCTCTGTGTGGACATGAAATCTGTCTCCCCAGCTGTGGGCTGCATCCTTGTTTGTCATCTGGTTTGGTTGTTGGGGACTTGGAAACTTGTGAGCACCTTTGCAATTTGTCAAGAAGCTGCACGGCCCTTCCAACAAAAGCAAGCAATAGGAGCAGAAGCCCAAGGCTTCAGATCAAGGTGCGACTTAAAGCAGCTTCAGTGTAAAAGCAAACAGGAGTCAGAGGGATGCCTAAGGCAGAGTCTAGTCCCCAGGGCAGCTATAAGGCAAACAGAAAGAGAGAGAGACAGAGACAGAGACAGAAAGACAGAGAGAGATGGGAGGAGACATGAGGCACCCAGGCATCTGCATCAAAATCCCTACAAGAGGGGCCTCCTAAAAATGCAGGAGGCTGAGGTGGGCGCACACAGAAGTTCAAGACTAGCCTGGGCAACATAGCAAGACCCTGTCTTTAAAAAAATACAAAAATCAGCCAGGTGTGGTGGTGTATGCCTGTGGTCCCAGCTACCCAGGAGGCTGAGGTGGGAGGATGGCTTGAGCCCAGGAGTTAGAGACTGCAGTGAACTGAGATAGCACCACTGCACTCCAGCCTGGGTAATAGAGTGAGACTTCATCTCAAAAAATTTTTAAAAAATTTTTAAAAAGGATCACCCTGGCTACTTGAATGGATGATAAGAAGGTAAGAGCAGAAGCAAGGAGACCAGCAGTGAGATTCTGCAGGTGGGAGTCCACAGTGGCTCAGACGAGGCTGGTGCTGAAGACCGGCTGGATTCTGTATACATTTTGATGATGAAGCAACTCACTGACTCTTGAAGAGTGGGCTCTAGGAGACTGTATTTTTAACAAGCTCTCAGAGGATTCTAATGCAGGCTGAAGTTGAAGAACTCCTGATTTAGGTGAAGCTTCTGTTTCATCCTTGGGGAAGTACCTACTGACTTTTCTCCAAGCCACCTCAAAAGAGGCACTAGACAAGATGTGCTCCAATGTCTGAACATGTGTGCACAGCTCTAGAGCCGAACTCAGGACACTGAGTCCAAGGTTAGGAGTGCAACAGTGAACAACCACCATCCTCTTTTCAATGAGCTTTGCACTTAATGAGAGAAATAAAAAGCAAAAAAAAAAATCATTTTCAACTCAGAATGGTAAGAGTTATGGTGACAGTATGCCTGGGGCAGTGGGAGCACAAAGAAGGGGCACCCAATCGGCCAGGTGCAGTTGTTCATGCCTGTAAACCCAGCACATTGGGAGGCCAAGGTGGGTGGATCACTTGAGGCCAGGAGTTTGAAAACAGCCTGGCCAACATGGTGAAATCCTGTCTTTACTAAAAATACAAAAAAATTAGCCGGGTGTGGTGGCGGGCACCTGTAATTCCAGATACTCAGAAGGCTGAGGTGGGAGAATTGCTTGAACCCGGGAGGTGGAGATTGCAGTGAGCCAAGATCACGCCACTGCACTCCAGCCTGGATGGCCAGAGCGAGACTCCGTCAAAAAAAAAAAAAAAAAAAAAAAAAAAAAAAAAAAAAAAAGCCAGGAGATGGGTGGGCATTCAATCTCTATCAGGTGGTCAGAAATCCTTCTCCACCACAGGACTCCTCAGTTGAAGACTAGAAAATGGTAGGAATTAGCCAGGTCGATAGGAGAGGTGTGGAAGATCATTCCCAGCAGAGGGAAGAGCATGTGCAAAAATCGAGACGTGAGAGGGTGAGGAGCTGAGAGATGTTCATATAATTATAAAAAGTGACTAATATAGAGGTAAGTTGGAGCCACATCTTAAAGGCTCTTTGTCGTGTTTATCCTGTAGACAAAGGGAGACAGTAGATGTTTTTAGGCAGGGGAGTAATGATCCACTTTGTGCTATAAAAAGAGCAGTCTGGCTGGAGGAGAGTGGGAGGTGAGTAGACCAGGTAGGAGGCTGCAATACAACAAGTGAGACAAGATGGTTGGCTGGACCAAGGCTGTGGCAGTGAGGATGGAGAGGAGACAGTAGACTAACTTGACTGAGAAAGAGGGAGGAATGCAGGATGAGGCCCAGGTGTTTTGGAAGCTGGGTGGATGGTGGTGTGAATCTGATGTGGTGAGCCCAGGCAGAAGAGGAAATCAGGAGAGGCAAGGTAAGATGAGGTCAATGCAAGACAGACAGCCAAGTGGAGATAACAACTGGGCAGTTGGATTCATCAGCCTGGAGTTATACAGAGAGCTCTGGAATGGAAATAAAGAGGAAAGGACTTTGGGAATAGGTGAATCCTCCCTGAATAATGTGTAGAGAAAGGAGAATAGAACACAAGGGAAAGATTTGTTATTTTGAAACAAATTTTGAAAAAGGGAAGAGATTTGTTATTAAAACCAACCATCCATCAGACATCTTCCAATAAAACACTTGTTAGAGGTTTCCTCAGTGTGAGTTATTCAGGACCAGAGCTAAAGACCATATTCCCAATGAAATCACTGCTGGGAAAGTCTTCATGAAAACATCTAATGCTGCTTTTAAAACATCAACAACAACAAAAAGGCTTTAGCTACTGCACAGACCCTGGAGCAATTTTTCGGCAAGAGTCTATCAAAAATCAATGTGATCTGACTCAAGGAGGTGTCATATCTAGTGTAAAAATCCAATTCCAATGTCCATAAGAGCCTTTCTGCCAGGTACAAGACCCTAATCCAGTTGAAGTGATTTTCTATTGATTAAGAGGCTGGGAATACACAGGTTGTTGGTTTTTGAGATTTCCCTCCCTGTGCCTTCATGCCAGCTGTGAAAGAGCCAAAAGGCTCCCAACTGTCAAAATAAAAATGACACTTGGTCACAGAGGAAACAGATTATAGGTCAATCACATTGATGACTTTTTAACTATGAGAAGCCATTACTGTTACTGAATAAGCAAATCTGTTTTCATAACCAGACTTTTATAGGCTACTGGGAATAAAGGTTTTCCTAAGTGGGTGATTTGTACAACGATAGCCTTTGGGTCTCTGATGGAACAGCTCTGATGAGGAAATGTTCCTTTAATTATGCAGAAGGCCAATTACCACGTTATAGCCACATTATTTTGCAGATTGCATATAATTTCACCATTTCCATAGCTTCAGCACTATAATTCTGGAGAAAATTCAGGCACCAAGAAGACACTTGAGGCACATTATGCTGGAGACAAAGATGTTTTAGCAAATTCAATTTAAACTTCAACATTAAAGTTATTTTGTTGAATAAAACATAATGCAATAATGAGCTTGTGTATGTCAACTGTACAGTGGAGGTAATAATAGCTAGAGAGAGCATGTCCCATCTCCTCTTTTTAATGCTCATTCGAGTAATACATAATGCTATAGAGAGAACCTTTCTCTAATATGTGCTTCATCTCAGGCTAAGCGTGTTTTGTGCAACTGTGCTTCATGAAAAGAAAAAAGGTAAAGGATCTAATTTGGGAGCCATTCACAAAAGTGCTACCACTTGATTTTTTTTATACTCTGAGATTTCTTATTCCCAGTGCCTACCAGGAATGGACTTTCTGGAGAAGCTCAGATTAATCACTCCTTATGAGAGGTGACAGCGTGCTGGCAGCCCTCACAGCCCTCACTCACTCTCGGCACCTCCTCTGTCTGGGCTCCCACTTTGGCGGCACTTGAGGAGCCCTTCAGCCCGCGGGTGCACGGTGGGAGCCCCTTTCTGGGCTGGCCAAGGTCAGAGCTGGCTCCCTCAGCTTGAAGGGAGGTGTGGAGGGAGAGGTGTGAGCTGGAACCGGGGCTATGCGTGCTGCTTGCCTGCCGGCTGGAGTTCCGAGTGGGCGTGGGCTTGGTGGCCCCGCACTAGGAGCTGCCGGCCGGCCTTGCCGGCCTGGGCAGTGAGGGACTTAGCACCTGAGCCAGCAGCTGCTGTGCTCGACTTCTCACTGGGCCTTAGCTGCCTCCCCGTGGGGCAGGGCTTGGCACCTGCAGCCCGCCATGCCTGAGCCTCCCCCCTCCGTGGGCTCCTGTGCAGCCTGAGCCTCCCCGACGAGCACTGCCTCCTGCTCCATAGCGCCCAGTCCCATCAACCACCCAAGGGCTGAGGAATGCGGGCACATGAAGAGGGACTGGCAGGCAGCTCCACCTGCGGCTCCTGTGTGGGATCCACTGGGTGAAGCCAGCTGGGCTCCTGAGTCTGGTGGGGACTTGGAGAACCTTTAAGTCTGGCTAAGGGATTGTAAATACACCAATCGGCACTCTGTATCTAGCTCAAGGTTTGTAAACACACCAATCAGCACCCTCTGTCTAGCTCAGGGTTTGTGAATGCAACAATTGACACTCTGTATCTAGCTACTCTGGTGGGGACTTGGAGAACCTTTGTGTGGAGACTCTATATCTAGCTAATCTAGTGGGGACGTGGGGAGGCTTTGTGTCTAGCTCAGGGATTGTAAATGCACCAATCAGCACCCTGTCAAAACAGACCACTCAGGCTCTCTGTAAAATGGACCAATCAGCAGGATGTGGGTGGGGCCAGGTAAAAGAATAAAAGCAGGCTGCCCGAGCCAGCAGTGGCAACCTGCTGGGGTCCCCTTCCACACTGTGGAAGCTTTGTTCTTTTGTTCTTTGCAATACATCTTGTTGCTGCTCACTCTTTGGGTCCACACTGCCTTTATGAGCTGTAACACTCACTGAGAAGGTCTGCAGCTTCACTCCTGAAGCCAGTGAGACCATGAACCCACTGGGAGAAATGAACAACTCCAGACGTGCAGTCTTAAGAGCTGTAAAACTCACCGTGAAGGTCTGCGGCTTCACTCCTGAGCCAGCGAGACCACGAACCCCACCAGAAGGAATAAGCTTCGAATACATCTGAACATCAGAAGGAACAAACTCCAGACATGCCACCTTTAAGAACTGTAACACTCACCAGGAGGGTCTGTGGCTTCATTCTTGAAGTCAATGAGACCAAGAACCCACCAATTCCGGACACACTTATACACTTGGCACTAGGAAGTCTGTATGGAGCAAGTGAAGAAATCAGCAGAGTGAAGTTAGAGGGAGAAAAACATGATGGGGGAAAGGCAAAGTTACTGCCATGTTGGTTTCAATTCTGCCACTCATGAGTGAGACCCATGACCTCCTCTCTCTAGGACTCTGTTGTTCTTATCTGTAGAGTGGAGGAATAGAACAGCCTTTTAAAGTATTAACATTTCCTGACCTATCTGTAAAACACTTTCATTCAAACTGGTGGGAATCTTGCCTACTTTGCCAAGAGGACATAATAATCATCAAGCTGAGTGCACCAAACAACATTGCCTGAAACTATCTAAGCAAAAACTGAGAAAGTTACACAGGACAGACAAAACTCCTATAAGAGTAAGAACTCTTTAGCACATGCTTAGAGTGTCAAAGACAATGCTGTGTTCACACCATTCCTCTTCCTGGACATGCAGAAAGACTACATTTCCCAGCCTCACTTGCAGTTAGTTTGGAACCATGTGACTGCATTTCCATGAATAGGAATGTAAGAAATCCCTTCTGGGCCAAGGCTATCAAAGGCAAGTGTGAGCTATGTTCCCTCTCTTCCTATCCATATGGCTACAAGTGAAAAACTCTGAGATGGCAGAATTAAAAGATGGAAACCTCCAGAATCTCTGAATCACTGTTGGACAAGGGACCCCAAGGAGAACCCCTGCCCTGCACCAGACTATGCTATGGGTGCCAACCCACTGAGAGTTCAGGGTTTATTCGTCTCAGCAGCAGTCTATTGTTACACTGACTAACATCCTAAGCTTTGAGAGATCTAGCATATTGTTAATTGAAGCTAGATTTCAATTACACTGAGAACCTTATCTATTTAAAAATAAAAACTCTCCTAAAAAAAACAAATAATCCACATTCCTTTTAACCACATGTGGCAAATTTGTAAAAAGAAAAAAACAAAAAAAAAAAACCAAAAAAAGAAAAACAACTGGCCACATATTAGGCCATAAAGAAGTCTCAACAAAATCCACTATACTATTGACATTGTCCAGACCAGATTTTCCTGACCATAATGCAACAAAATTAGAAGTCAACAGCAAGAAGATAGCTAAACACAAGCATACATTTGGAAAATTAAAAATATCCTTTCATGAGTTAAATGAAAAATTACAATAGAAATTACTAAACATTTACAACTGAATGAAAACACAACTTTATATATATATGTATATTTTTTTTTGTGAGTCTTCCAACTTTGTTCCTCTTCTACAAGGTTATTTGGGAAATTCTGGGTCTCCTGCAGTTCCTCATAGAGTTTTATGCTGTTTGTCAATTTCTGTGGCTGGGATGAACTTATCGTAGTTCTCATAGACCAGGGTTTGCATGTCGCTGTCTAGAGCCCGGATCTGCTGCACCATGTCCGTCTCACTGTCCATCAGCTGGGCCAGAGGGCACTCTCTAGGCAGCTTGTCTAGTTAAACTTCCGGGTCGAAGTGTGCCCCATTCAGATCAGTGGGGTCCAGGGGGTCGGGCCCAGCGGGGAGTCCCACCGCCTCCCATTCTGAGAGGCCGTTGTAAAGCTTTAGCATCCTGTGCGCCTTCCGCCGACGCTCCGTGAACCTCCCCACCGGGGCCTTCTGCGGAGTCCCCAGGTCCACACCCCGGGCTAGGCCCAGTGACAGCTGCCGCCGCCATAGCTCTAACTGCAGCCCACGGGCGTAATTTTTTTTTTTAAGTTGGATACATGGAGCTACTTGGCTTTTGCTTTCATCATATCGTTGAGGAAAGAGGTGGTTGCTTATGGTACCCCTGTTTTTACTGCAACCTGTAATGGATGAGAACCTCCCTGTTGCAGAGAGCAAAACACTGAACTAAATTGTGCTGTAACACAGCCCTGTGTTGGGGGATTGGGAGTGATCATGCAAACGCTTGCAAATTTGCACAGAGACAGAGACAATCACTGTCTCTGTCAGTGTGATTTGGGCAGCTGTTCACTATATGAAAAGGCAATTGACCAAAAGTCAGTTACCGAGCTATCTCAATACTTTCATTTTATTTTAACTTTTGGCAGCAGGGTACAATTAAAGGAGAGAAAGAAAACAAAGTGATAAGTGTAAGATAATGTACACACGTGTGTAAAAGAAAGTGACAAGACAGGATGACTGTTTGTCTCTTAGTTAGCTCCTTGGGCTCTATGTCTCCTTCCTCAGAGAACCTCATTTTCCTTTGTCCAGATGTGTTAGGGTGGATAATCCAGGCGTCTGCTCCCCCATGATGGAAGCCAAAAACATCCCTGGAGCCGCCTCCCGCTGCACCCTTTCCTGCACTGCCCACATGGACACAACTCAGCCGATTAGACTTCCTCTCAGAACTTTAGTCTTGAGCAAAGGGATTAAAGGGCGAAGTGACTGAAGGTATGCCCTTCCAAAGTGGTACGTGAGCTAATGGCTAAAGTTTGCCAAGCCCATCCAAGCACATTGTTTCATAATTTTTATTTATTTATTTTTTTAAGACAGAGTCTTGCTGTGTTGCCCAGGCTGGAGTGCAGTGGCGTGATCTCGGTTCACTGCAACCTCTGTCTCCCGGCTTCAAAGGAGTCTCCTGCCTCAGCCTCCCCAGTAGCTGGGATTACAGGCATACGCCACCGTGCCTGGCTAATTTTCTTCTTTTTTTTGTATTTTTAGTAGAGACAGGGTTTCACCATGTTGGCCAGGCTGGTCTCGAATTCCTGACCTTGTGATTCGCCTGCCTCAGCCTCTCAAAAGTCTGGGATTACACGTGTGAGCCACCGCGCCCAGCTTCCAAACGATTTAAGCAGAGCTCAGAGGTCTTAACCACAGGCACATCGGAGGAGCATTTTTGAAACACTTTCCAGATTCCTCAATAGGAATGGAAGCCAAACGCTGAATTGATGACTCCTTTGAGGAAGTCAAGAACTGTAAGGAAAGCCAGGAACAGGGACAAGGGAGATATGCGTCCCGAATGATCCTGTGCCAATTCCTTCTGGAATCCTCGATGTGATCTCAGCTGCCCCTTCTAAACATGACACAGTGATTGTGGCACCCACTGGTCTAGCTGTGGTCTACAATGAACCTCCAAAGGGAAGAGCAGAGTGAGCAGGGGCATCGGCCTGAGTGACAAGGATTTGAGAGGGCAGGTTGGATGCAGGGAGAGGACTGGCCAAATGCCATGTGTCTGGACTTAGACTGCCTGGTTCAAATTGGACTTCACCCTTTCTGACTTCGTGATCTGGTACAAGCTACATGAAAATCCGTTGCTCCTTTTCTAGTCTGTAAAATCATCATGAAATGTGAACTAATAACATGGAGACTATGCAGATGAAATGAAACAAGCTGCATAGAGCACAGAGCTCAGAGCCAGGCCTTCAGTAAGCCCTCAGTAAGGGTTCATGATGCCATGGTGTCTGTCGTCATCCTCTTTATCCTCATCACCTTCATAATCTCTTTTTTGTTCTTAGGGAATAGTTTAGAGGGACTGATTCCCTGCTATCATGGGTGAGATGTCTATAAAAAGGACAACCAGTGGGGGAGGAAAGCAAAATTTTGAATAAGATTTCTGAGACCCCCACCACAACCAAGAACAGAAATTCCAGTATGCTGAGCACAGAGTTTGCATATTGCTCTCCTCACATCTGCCCACCGCAGTCTCCAGTACGTCCTAAGGATGAGGAAACAAACAAGGTTCCCGACCGTCCCTCAGCACTCACTTGAAGGGGTGGCCTGTCCCTCCACACCTGTGGGTATTTCTAGTCAGGTGGGATGAGAGACTGAGAAAAAAAGTAAGACACAGAGACAAAGTGTAGAGACACAACAGTGGGCCTAGGGGACCGGCGCTCAGCATACCAAGGACCTGCACCGGCACTGGCCTCTGAGTTCCCTCAGTTTTTATTGATTATTATTTTTATTATTTTAGCAAAAAGGAATGTAGTAGGAGTCAGGGTGATAATAAGGAGAAGGTCAGCAACGAAGATGTGAGCAATAGAATCTATGTCATCATGAAGTTCACGGGAAGGTTCTATGACTGGACGTGTACGTAAGCCAGATTTATGTTTCTCTCCACCCAAACATCTCAGCGGACTAAAGAATAACAAGGCAGCATTGCTGCCAACATGTCTCACCTCCCACCATAGGGCGGTTTTTCCCCCATCTCAGAATTGAACAAATGTACAATTGGGTTTTATACCGAGACATTCAGTTCCCAGGGGCAGGCAGAAGACAGCGGCCTTCCTCTCTCAACTGCAAGAGGCTTTCCTCTTTGACTAATCCACCTCAGTACAGACCCTTTACTGGTGTTGGGCTCGGGGACGGTCAGGTCTTTCTCCTCCCATGAGGCCACTTTTCAGACTATCACATGGGGAGAAACCTTGGACAATATGCCGCTTTCAAGGGAAGTGGTCTCTGCGGCTTTCCACAGTGTATTGTGCCCCTGGTTTATTGAGACTAGACAATGGCGATGACTTTTACCAAGTATACTGCTTGGAAACATCTTGTTAACAAGGCACGTCCTGCACAGCCCTAGATCCCTTAAACCTTGATTTCATACAACACATGTTTTTGTGAGCTTCAGGTTGGGTCAAAGTGGCTGGGGCAAAGCTACACATTAACAACATCTCAGCAAAGCAATTGTTGAAAGTACAGGTCTTTCTCAAAATGGAGTCTCTTATGTCTTTCCTTTCTACATAGACACAGTAAGAGTCTGATCTCTCTTTCTTTTCCCTACACTCACTGAACTGCCCTTCCCCTCTGCTGGGCCATGACCATGGAGAACAGGTCCACTGTCCTCCCTGTGTGGTGCAACATGGAGGCTCAGACTCCATCCTCAAGGCTGGCAAGAAGACAGGGTGAGACGTGAGCCTCTTGATACAGGTGACGGGAGTGGAGCCCACAGGACTGGAACCTCACACTACAGGGCTGGAGGCACAGACTGACTATTTACTATTTTGTGGCCTGGGGGGCTCAAGGCACAGAGCTCCTTATTAGCCAAAGTCACCCAACTTCCCCAACCTCTAAGGATTTCCTCATAATAATGCAAGAAGAAGAAGAGAAAAGTGAGTGTCCATAGAAGCTTTGGGGCTCTTCCTCTAATCAGGAGAAAGCTGGTGTGTATTCTTCGCTTCTTTCTTTTCTTTTTAAACATCCAACTGCTTTAATTTTCATCTTTTATTATGGGAAAATATACCTCGTATAAATATTAAAAATTATAAATATATATTAGTTCATATAGAATGGCCAGTATAAACCTTTACAGTTTCCATGCTTTTTCACTTTACAGTTTCATGACATGAAGTACGTTCACATTGTTTAGCAACCATCACCATCATCGTCTCTGGAACAGTTTTATCTTTCAAAATGGAAATTGCACCCATTCACCAAGCTCTCCACTCCTCTCTCTCGCCCGCCCCTAGGGGCCACCTTTCTAGTTTGCAACTCTATGAATTTAACTACTCTAGACACTTGATAGATAAGTGGAATCATACCGTGTTTAATTTTTTTGTTTTGGAAACAGAGTCTTTCTCTGTCACCCCGGCTGGAGTGCAGTGGCGTGATGTCACCTCACTGCAGCCTCCACATCATGGGTTCAAGCGATTCTTGTGTCTCAGTCTCCCGAGTAGCTGGGATTACAGCTGTGCGCCACCACGCCCAGCTAATTTTTGTATTTTTAATAGAGCCCATATTGGCCAGGCTGGTCTCGAACTCCTGACCTGAAGTGATCCGCCTGGCTCAGCCTCCCAAAGTGCTGGGGTTACAGGTGCGAGCCACTGAGCCTGGGAGTGTTTATCCTTTTGGGATTTATTTATTTCACTGACGATAATGTTTTCAAGGTTCATCCATGTTGCAGCCTGCGTCAGAAGTGCCTCTCTGTTTTTTTTTTTTTTGTTTGTTAGTTTTTTCTTTGTTCGTTTGACTTTGTTTTGTTTTGTGTTTCCATGGAATCTCACTCTGTCGCACAGGCTGGAGTGCAGTGGCACAATCTGGGCTCACTGTAACCTCCGCCTCCCGGGTTCCAGCCATTCCTGTGCCTCAGCCTCCTGAGTAGTTGGGACTATAGGCACACGCCACCACGCTCGTCTCATTTTTTGCATTTTGAGTAGAGACAGGGTTTCACCAAGATGGCCAGGCTGGTCTTGAATTCCTGACCTCAGGTGATCCGCCCACCTCGGTCTTCCAAGACGCTGCGATTACAGGTGTGAGCCACCGCACCGGCCAGAAGTGCCTGCTTTTTTAAGGCTGAATAGTCTTCCATTGTATGAAGGAACTGCAGTGTGCTTTTTCATTCATCTGTCCACGAACCCTTGAATTGCTTCCACATTTTGGCTGTTGTGAATAATGCTGCTATGAATATGGGTGTACACAAATCTGTCTTCCACTCCTGGCTTCTAATTCTTTTTGGTAGGTACCCACAAATGCAACTGCGGGAACATCTGATCATTCTGTTTCTAATTTTTCAAGCACACACCATACTATTTTCCCCGTTCCTTCACGGTTTTACATTCCCTCAAATCACATTTGAGCATTCCTACTTCCCTCTAGTCTCACCAATGCCTGTTTGTTTATCATATCCATTCTAATGTGTGGTATCACATGATTGGTTTGATTTGCGCTTCCCTATGATGAGTGATTTTGAACATCATTTTAGATGCTTATTGGCCATTGCTATATCTTCTTTAGGGACACATCTACTCGAGTCTTCTGGCCATTGTTGATGGGATGCTTTGGGTTTCTTGTGGTTTAGTTCTAGCTGTTCTTCATATACGATGGATATCAGCCTCTTTTCAGATATATGCTTTGCAAATATTGTTCCTAATCCTTGGGTTATCGTTTCACTCAGTTCACAGTGTTTTTTGCTGCACAAAAGGGTCTGTCATTTAGATGTAATCCAAGGAATCTAATTTTGTTGCCTATGCTTTTGGTGTCATATCCCAGAGAACATTGCCCAATCTGATGTCATGAAATTGTGGCCAATCTTTTCTTTTAGGCGTATGATACTTTTGGCGCTTAGGGTGAGGTCTTTGATCCAGTTTGCGTTAATTTTTGCACCTGGTGTGACATAGGGTCCACCTTCAGTCTTGTGCTTATGGAAATCAAGTTTCTCCAACACCATTTCTTGAAAAGGCTGCTTTCCACCAATGAGCTTTCTTAGCACTCATGTGAAAAACCATTTGAACATATAGGTGAGAAGTTATTTCCGGGCTCCAAAACAAACAAACAGCAAGAGACAACAGATCAGGATACAGCATGGGCCGGGCGCGGTCACTCACGCCTGTAATCCCAGCACTTTGGGAGGCCGAGGCGGGCAGATCACCTGAGGTCAGGAGTTGAAGAACAGCCTGACCAACAGGGAGAAACCCCCGTCTCTACTAGAAATACAACATTAGCTGGGCGTGCTGCTGCATGCGTGTAATCCCAGCTACTCGGGAGGTGGAGGCAGGAGAATCGCTTGAACCCAGGAGGCAGAGGTTGCGATGAGCCAAGATTGCACCGTGACACTCCAGCCTGGGCAACAAGAGCGAAACTCCATCTCAAAACAAAAAACAAAATCAAAAAGCCAGCATCATTTCAGTAGCAGAAAGAGAAGAGCTTAAAAACCAGTATAATGAGAAAGTTAGGAAGCTTCTTACCAAAGCATCTGGAAATATGCAAGCAATTTTTGTGAACTAAAATTTTCATACTGTACTATCAAACACTAGAACTCACTTATTCCATCTTTCAGTATTTTGGGACCCAATTATCCACTTGTCTTCATTCCGGATTCCACCCCTTTGCTTCCTAGCATCTGCTAATCACCTTTATAGTTTCCACCTTCCTGAGATTCCTTTTGTGTGTAGGTGTGTGATGGAGTCTCTTTCTGTTGCCCAGGTTGGAGTACACAGGCACAATCCGGGCTCACTGCAAGCTCCGCCTCCCGAGTTCAAGCGCTTCTTGGGCCTCAGCTCTCCGAGTAGCTGAGACTACAGGCACGCGTCACCACGCCCGGCTCATTGTTTGTGTTTTCCGTAGAGACGGAGTTTCATCATGTTGGCCAGGCGGGTCTCGAACTCCTGGACTCAAGTGATCCGTGCGACTCGGCCTCCCACAGTGCTGGGATTACAGGTCTGAGCCACCACACCTGGCCAAGGTTTCCTTTTTTCTTTCTACATAGAAGTGAGGATGTGAAATATTTGTCATTCAGTGCTGGGCTTATTTCATTTAATATACATACTTGCAATCTCATCCATTTTGTCCGCAGCGGAGAGGAGTTTCTTCCTTTTTAGGCTGAATCATACTTCACCGGGTGTGTATACCACAGTTTCTTAATTGAAACAAATTTCTGAAGAGCAAATATTTTTAAAATGTCTCAGAATGTGAAACTTCAGGGATACTGTGCCCATTTTATTCTTTTCTATTTCCCATCTTATGTATATGCAAGTGTATAACAAAGCAGCAATCAATGTGTGTATAAATCTATAACTTTAACAAATGTAAAATGTAAATGCTAAGTGGTGTCTGGGCGCGGTCGTTCATGCCTGTAATCCCAGCACTTTGGGAGGCGGAAGCGGGCGGATCACCTGAGGTCGGGAGTTCAAGACCAGCCTCACCAAAATGGAGAAACACTGTCTCTCTCTTAACAATACAAAAAAAAAAAAAAAAAAAAAATTAGCCAGGCATGGTAGCGCATGCCTGTAATCCCAGCTACTTGGAAGGCTGAGACAGGAGAATTGCTTGAATATGGGAGGCAGAGGTTGCAGTGAGCCGAGACCGTGCCATTGAACTCCAGCCTGGGCAACAAGAGTGAAACTCTGACTCAAAAAAAAAAAAAAAGGAAAAGGAAGAAAGAAATAGAAAATGCGAAATGGTAAGAAAAAACAGCATAATAAACATTTGTATGGTGTTGATGGACAATGCATTTGAAGATAATATTTGAAGAAATCATATTACAATTAATTTCTGTTCTTACTCATTGGAGCTTGATGCCTCTAAAAACTTTGTCATTGGAACCACCTCTGGTGCTTTAAAAGAAAAAAAATCCACATACTCACACAGGTACAAGGAAATCAGAATCTCGGGTATTGAGACCCAGGCCTCATCATGTGTAAGCTCCCCAGCTGATTTGACTCAAAGCCAAGACTGAGGAACGGCGACATGGATCTCTACACATAACCTGCCTAAATAGATTCTCTAGAAGCAGTTTATAAAGAAATTCCACATGAACTCTGGAAGAGGATATGAATTTGATGTACAGTACGTCCTCACTTAACACCTTTGAAAGTCTCTTGGAAACTTCACCTTGAAGCAAAATTATGTATAGTGAAACCACTTATTTTTCATCAAGAGTATAACCACAACTTTGAACAACCAATGGTGTTGGAGGACCTCCTGTACATTGTTTCCATAAAGTCAGTTTTCAGGGAATTCCAAAACGAAGTGAGGACTTTGTGTATATAAAAAGATGGTTGTGATTCCACCTGGATGACAGGGTTATTGCTCAGAAACTAAAAGAGGCCGCCTAGGTAGAGAGGATCCTGTCATGAGGTTTCTGCTAAACAAAGGATCCCAGAATCCTCACCCATTCCAGTTAAAGGCATAACGAAGAGAGCAATATTCACAAAGGAAATGCGGAAAGGAATAAAAGCCATCAAGCCACAAAAATAGTGTGACTAAGGGGCAGGATTTGCAGATGTAGAGATTTAATGTGATTGCCCTTTCTCACCCACACAAGAAAAAGGATGGAACAGATCATGAGATTCGACTGTTCTGCTGTGCAGCCCCCACAGGGCACTTTGTATGTCCCTGTTTCTCAGGCTGTAGATGAAAAGGTTCAACATGGGGGTGACCACAGCGTACATCACTGATGCCACCACACCATTCCTGGGGGGTGGTGACACAGCTGAAGTCAGGTACATGCCAATGCCTGTTCCATAAAATCAGCAAACAACTGCTAGGTGAGAGCCACAGGTGGAGAAGGCTTTATACTTCCCATCTGATGATGAAATCCTTAGAATGGAGGGGATGATTTTATAGTAAGACAAAAGGATCCCTGAAATGGGAAGAAAACCAAACATAGTACTATGGAAATATATGAATATGCTATTGATGATGCTGTCAGAACAGGCAAATTTGAGAAGTTGAGAGGGGTCACAGACTAAATTAGAGATTTCCACATTCTTGATGATGGTGAATTGTAACACAATCCAACTGTGCAGCTGGGAATCCAACAGGCTAAGGAAAAAGGACACCAAAACGAAGAAGACACAGAGGTGAGGATTCACGATGACTGGGTAGTGCAGAGGGTGACAGATGGCTACAAAGCAGTCATAGGCCATCACAGTCAGGAGCATGCCTTCTATACATGCAAAAAGGACCAAGAAAGACATCTGCGTCAGGCAGCCTGCATGAGAGATGACTCTGCTATGCGACTGCATGTCCACAATCATCTTGGGAACTGTGGCCGAGGTGAAACCGATGTCAGCCCAGCACAGGTTGGAGAGGAAGAAGTATATGGGGGTGTGGAGGGGGGAGTCAGAGCGGACAGCCAGGATGCTGAGCAGGTTCCTCAGCACCGTGACCAGATACATGGACAGGGACAGGGACAGCAAAGCGAGGACGGCTGCAGTTCTGGATCCTCTGAGAGTCCCAGGAGGAGGAATTCTCAGACACCTGTGAGATTCCGTGGCTCTCTGTGTCTTGGACACCTTGAGAAGGAAAGAGGATTGGAAAAATAAAAGATAAAAACCAGCCCTTAATGCTGGATGCAAGCAATTCACAAGGAACATCTTCACACTTGCGGAGCATACACCGCCAGCAATGTTTCTCAGCTGTGACAATTCCAAAAATCTCAGAATTATTACGTGATTTACTTTTTTGCTGTACAAGGCTTTCTGTACATACTACTTTAGAGAAAATCCACTGAAGAATATTAGAAGACCAAAACGTCATATATAACAAATCCGTGATCTCAGTAAAATATGGCCTACTCTTTTCAGAAAAAATACAACGCAATGACAATGTCCTTCTCTCTTTAAGAAAAAGATCTCAGTCTAATTGAAAGAAATTAAGAAGCCGTGAAACACACTCTACTTTATTCTGACACTGTGCTACAACTTGCATGGATGTAGAATATGTAAAAGGACGACACAAGAGCTAGGACCCCATTATCTGAAAACGACATTGAACCTTATAGTTCTCAATCGGAAGACCTTTTCACATGCCTGTTACTTTTCATATTTATTATCATGCTTCGGTTTTCTGACATCGTTTCTTCATAAAAGTACATGCTCACTCAAAGATGGGAGCTGTGTTTCCAAATGAATTGAATATAGAACTCTTGGCCCAGCACCATGGCTCACACCTGTAATCCGAGCACTTTGGGCGGCCGAGGCTGATGGGTCACCTGAGGTCAGGAGTTCCAGACCAGCCTGGCCAACGTGGTGAAACCCCGTCTCCAGTGAAAAAAAAAAAAAAATCAGGAGAGCGTGGTGGCGGGTAATCCTAGCTAATCGGGAGGCTGAAGCAGGAGAATCCCTTAGAACCTGGAAGGCAGAGATTGGACACCCTGTGATAGGATTTTTGGTATCCTAGGGAGATATTGCTCCTGACAGCAGAGTGGCCATACACCCTGTGATATTATTTGTAATATCCTAGAAAGATATTGCTCCTAATATCACGGTGGCTCTACACCCTGTGATCTTAATTGTAATATCCTACAGAGATATTACTTCTAATAATACAGTGGGTGTACACCCTGTGATATTATTCATAATATATTACAGAGATACGACTCCTGATATCACAGTGTGTGTACACCATGTTTGTACACCCTGTGATCTTATTTGTAACAACTTAAAAAAAATTACAGCTAATATCAAAGTGGGTGTACACCCTGCGATGTTATTTGTTATCTACTAGGTAGATATTACTCCTAATATCACAGTGAGTGTACACCATGTGTGTACAGACTGTGAAATTATTCGTAGTACCCTAGGAAGATATTACTCCTCATATCTCAGTGGGTGTACACCGTGAATGATATTTTTTTCTAATATCCAGCGGGGGAGAGGATGATATTGCTTCCAATATCACAGAAGGTGTACACCCCCCTGTGATATTGTTCCTAATATCCAGGGAAGGAGAGGATGACATTATTCGCAATATCACTGGGGGTGTACCACCTCCCGCCGGGATATTGTTCTTAATATCCAGAGGTGGAGAGAATGATGTTACTCCCAATATCACAGGGGGTGTACACCACCCCTGTTTGTAAACACCCCCTGTGATATTGTTCCAAATGGCCTGTGAAAGAGTAAACATGACTCCCATTATCGCGGGGGGTGTTCAGCCCTGATGATATTGTTTTCTGACATCCAGGGAAGGAGAGTATGCTATTACTCCGAATATCGCACGGGTTGTACACCCTTTTGTGTTTTTGCGCCCAATATCCAGGAAAATAGAGTATGATATTACTTCCCATATCGAAGTAATTGTACAGCACCCCTGTGATATTCTTCCTAATATCCAGAAAGGAAAAGAATGATATTACTCCCAACAACGTAGGAAACGTATACCCGCGCTGTGGTATCTTTCCCAGTATCCAGGTGGGGAGAGGATCATATTACTTCCAATGTCGCAGGGTGTGTACACCCCCTCTGTGATCTCATTGCTAACATCCAAGTTTGGGGAGGACGACATTACTCCCAATATCGCAGGGGGAGTACATCCCCCCGTGACCTTGTTAGTCATTTCCTAGGTGGAGAGGATGATCTCACTCCCAATATCGCAGGGGGTGTACACACACCTGTGAAAATCTTCCTATTTCTGGAGGGAGAGAGGATGGTATTACTCCCACTACCGCAGGGGGTTTCCACAGCCCTGTGATACTCTTCCTAATATCCACAGGGAGAGAGGATGATATCACTCCCAATATCGCAGGGGGTGTACACAACCCTGTGATATTGTTCCTAATATCCAGAGTGAAAGAGGATGACATGACTCTCAATATCGCAGAGGGTGTACACCCCTCCTGTAATATTGTTCTGAATACCCTGGGAGGCAGAGGATAAGGTTACGTTGAATATCGCAGGGAATGTACACCCTTCCCCTCTGATACCCTTCCTAATGTCCAGGGGAAAAGAGGAAAATTTCACTCCCAATATCACAGAGGCAGTACACCCCACCTGTGATGTTGTTCCCAATATGCAAGGGGGGAGGGGATGATACTACTCTCAATATCGCAGGGCTGTTCACATCCCCAGTGACATTTTTTCCTAATATCTAAGGGAGAGACAATTATATGACAGCAAAGGTCGCAGGGTCTGTACCTCCCTTCCTGATATTGCTCCTAATATCCAGGGGGGAAGAGGATGATATCAAATATGAAAGGGGGTGTACATCCCCCACCCCTACGATATTGTTCTTAGTAATCGTGAGGGGAGAAGATGATATTGCTCCAAGTATCGCAGGGGTTGTTCACAACCCCTGTGATATTGTTTGTGATATCCAGGGGGGGAGAAAATCATATTACCTCCAATATTGCAGGTGGTGTATACCCCACCAGAAATATGGCACCGAATATCCAAAGAGGGAGAGGATGGTATTCATACCAATATCGAAGTGTGTGTACACGCCCCTTGTGATATGGTTTTTAATATCCAGTAGGCGGGAGGATGATATTAGTCCCAACATCCCAGAGGGTGTACACTACCCCTGTGATATTGTCCCTAACTTCCAGAGGGGAGAGGATGATATCACTTCCAATATCTCAGAAGTTGCACATCCCCCGTGATATTGTTCGTCATATCCAGGGAGGCGCAGGATGACATTCCATAGAATTTCGTGACAGGCGTACACGCAGAGTGTGATATTGTTCCTAATATCCAAGAAGGGAGAGGATGATATTACTGCCAATAAAGCAGTGGGTGTACATCACCCGTGTGTTATTGTCTCTAATATCCGGGGCCGGGGGAGCGGGGGAGAGGATAACATTCCCTCAAATTTAGGAGGTGGTTTGACGCCCCTTGTGGTGTTGTTTTAAATATCCAGCGGGGAAGACAATAGTACTATTTTTGATGGCCCGATTCATCCGCTCCACCTTTCCGGAACTCTGAGGCCAGGAGGCGGCATGCGGTTTCCGTGTGATCCCCAATACCTTTGCTGTCTTCTGTACCAAGGCAGCCAAAAACACAGGCCCGTTGTCTGAGCCGATCCATAAGGCGGTCAAAATCTAGGAATTAGATCTCGAAGAAGCACAGGGGTTTCTTCACCAGCTTTCTCAGTTCGTGTTGGATAGGCCTCCACCCACCCAGAGTAGGTACGCCCAAGAACTAGTACATACTTGTTACCTCCACACTTTGGCATCTCTGTGAAGTCCACCTGGAGACCTTCAAAGGGGGCTGCTCCATAAGCTCGTATGCCAGGCGGAACGGCTGGACCTTGCCTCGCATCATGCTGTTGGCAGGTAACACACCACTGCCTCACCGTTTTGGCAAGGGCTGACAGAGGTGAGATGTAGAAATACCAGCCTAACAACTTTTCCAGTGACTCCTGATCTCGATGGGTGGTTTCTTGCACAGCCAGTACAACTGCAGCTCCTAGCAGCTGTGGCACAGCTAGTCTCCCATCTGGTAACCGAATCCATCCTTCCTCCATCACTTGTCCTTCCCTCTACCTGGAGAAGGTCCTTTTCTTCTTTAGAAGAAGTAGGTCCAAGATCAGGTGCTTGAGGGAGCACTGATGCCCAGAAGGGGGCAGATGCTGCTTTTCGAGCCTCTGAGTCAGCGCGGGAATTCCCCAAACCCAGCAAGGTGGAAGCTCGCTGGTGTCCTCTGCAATGCATAACTGCCACCTCGTGGGGTTTCCATACTGTTTCTAATCATTGCAAGATTTCTTGTTGTTATTTTCTGTCTTTTCCCCCAGAGTTCAGTAGGCCCTTTTCTTTCTATCATGCTCCATGCACTTGAAGGGTTGAAAAGACATACCGAGAATCAGTGTAAATGTTGACAGTCTCAACCTCACTGAGTTCTAAGGCCCGAATGAAAGCAACGAGTTCAGCTTTCTGGGCTGAAGTGGCCTGGGGCAACGATCTGGCTTCAACAACAGTGTCCAGGGTTACCACTGCATACCCTGCACCTCTCTCTCCTTGGGGGTTGAAGGAGCTGCTCCCATCCACGTATAGTTCCCAGTCTACTGATGCCCAAGCCTGGTCCCGGAGGTCAGGTTTGCTAGAATCAACTGAGTCCAACACTTCTACACAATCAGGCTCGACAGGGCTCTCTGATACCGGGAGCAAGGTGGCGGGGTGTAGGGTGTTACAAACTTCAGTGGTTATACGGGGATTTTCACAGAGCAAAGTTTGGTACTTGGTGAGTCTGGCATCCGTTAGCCAATGATGTCCTTTAGTATTCATTAAAGTCACCACAGCACGGGAGGCCTTTATGTTCAGGTTTTGCCCAAGAGTCAGCTTATTTGCTTCTTGTACTAGCAGGGCAGTTGCTTCCAAGGCCCTCAAACAGGGGGGCCATCCTTTAGAAACCCCATCTAGTTGTTTAGAGAGGTAGGCCACCGGCCTCGGCCAGGGCCCTACAGTTTGGGTTCAAAGTCCAGCTGCCATCTTTTCTCTCTCTGATGCATACAATGGAAAAGGCTTTGTCAGATCGGGTAGCCCCAGGGCTGGGGCTGCCAGAAGTTTTTCCTTTAACTCATGAAAGACTTGCTGTTGTTGGGATCTGCATTCCAAAGGTTCCCGGTCCCCACCCCCTTTGTGACCTCATACAAAGGCTTGGTTAATACTGCAAAGTTTGGGATCCACAGTCTACAAAACCCCACAGCTCCTAAGAATTCTCTCACCTGCCTCCTGCTCTTAGGCTTCGCTAGATTGCAAATGACCTGCTTTCATTCTGATTCCGGGCTGCTTTCTGACCCCTGTCGGATAGTCAATCCAAAGTAACGTACCTGCCATCAGCAGATCTGAGCTTTCTTCTTGGACACCTTCTACCCACAGTCCTCCAGGTGCCGGTGTAGGGCATCTGTTCCCTTGGCACACCCGACTGCCGTGGGGTGTCCCAGCAGAAGGTCATCAACCTACTGGAGCAACATGCAGCCTAGGTCTCTGCTGGGAAACTTCTGCAGGTCTCGAGCCAACGCCTCCCCGAAGATGGTGGGGGAGTTCTTGAACCCTTGGGGAAGCCCGGTCCAAGTGTACTGAGTAGTGACATCTGACTCCGGATCTTCCCACTGAAACGCAAACAGCTTCTGCCTCTCAAGGGCTAATCTGATAGGAAAGAAAGCGTCTTTCAGGTCCAAGCAGGTGAACCAGCTGTCCTCAGCTGGCAGCAACCCCAACAATGTGGACGGGTTAGGTACTGTTGGATGGAAAGTCAGTGTAGCTTGATGAAGCAAGTGCAAATCCTGTGCCGGCCGGTAGTCCTTGGTCCGTGGCTTGGGAACAGGCAGGAGGGGAGTGTTCCATGGAGACTGACGAGGACCAATAATTCCAAAAGTTCTCAGGTGCTTGAGACGGACCTGGATACCTTGAAGGGCTTCTCTGGGGACCTGGTCCTGTTTTTGTCTCACTGGCTGGGCCCCAGTCTTAACTGGCCAATCCCGGAGGGTTGTCTTCTGCCCGTACTCTTGGCCACCGCTTAGCCAGAGCTGGTCTTCTCTCTTGGCCCGGCTCCGTTAAGAAAAGTCTCCATTCCTCCTCTCGGGGGACCATAAGGGTCATAATGACCCCCGTTCCGGGTAACTTTAGCAGCAAAGAGCCGTGCTCTGTCAAAGACATAGTGGCTCTCAGCTTGCTGAGCAAGTCCCTTCCCAAAAAGGTCAAGGGACAGTCAGGCATGTACCAAAACTGATGAGTGACTTTATGTCCTCCTACAGTACAAGTCTGAGACAAGCAGAAAGCTTGCTTTGCTGAAACCCCCGTGGCTCCGATGATGTCAATAGTCTTTTTGGATAAGGGGGCGACCGGGGCGCTTGCTAGCGAATGTTCAGCACCGCTATCTACAAGAAAGTCAACGTCTCCACCCCCGACTGTCATTCTGAGCAGAGGCTCTTTGGGGACGCTTGAGCCCGGTCTCCCTCAGTCCAAGAACCCTTCCGCCAGGTTGAGCAGGGCCCCTTCCTCCTTGTCCAGGGCCTCCTGCTCTGAGTCACCTTGTTTTCTTTTGAGCTGAGGGCGTTTGTTTTTCCACTGTCCTATTTCTTTACAATGAGCACACTGGTTGCGCTGCAAACTCTGACAGCCAAGCTGAGTTTCTTTCCCAGGGCCCCCTTTCCCTTGCCTCTTTGTGGGGGGCCCTCTGATTGCTGCAGCTGACAAACAGGTCGGCGTGTCCCCAGGCCTGACCTCCATTCTCTTTGCCATTTTCCTTAGGGCTTACTGCATCCCTGTTTATGAACACCTGGCTAGCTATTTCTAGTAATTGTGATGGATTCATCCCTGCAAGCCCAGCCTGTTTCTGCAGTTTTCTTCTCATGTCTTCTGCGCTTTGACGGACTAAAGCCATGTGAATCATGTGCTGATTTTCAGGGCTATCGGGATCAAAGGGAGTATACATACGATAGGCCTCACACAGTCTCTCGTAGAATTGTGCTGGACTTTCTTCTTTTCCCTGAATGACCTCAGAGAGCTTGTTAACGTTTGTGGCCTTCTGAGCTCCCCTCATTAATCCTTCCAAGAGAGCTTCCCTGTCTCGGTTTAGCCTTTGCATCTCCTCTCTTTCATGTGGGTCCAACTGGGGGTCGGTTCCTGGCAACTGGGTCCTTCCATATTCTTGGGGGTTTTGATAATCAGCTAGTGCATGTTCCTCTAGCCACTTAGTTCCTGCTTGGAGGACTCTCCGCCTTTCTTCACTGTTAAAAGAGGAACATGAGCAACTGGTGCCAATCAGCCCAGGTGGGGTTGTGGGTCTGAATAACAGCTTGGAGCAAATCAATTAGTGCTTGTGGCTTTTCGGTATAGGGCGGTGTATTGTTTTTCCAGTTGAGAAGGTGGACGCAGGTGAAGTGCTGGTACCCAAAAACACGCCTCTCCACCACGTGACCATCCTCGTCTATCCCAGTATAACGCTGCACTCTCAGGGGCATTTGTGTCCCCGTTTTGGGTCGTAAACGAGCTGCCGAGGGAGGGGTGGAATGGCGCAATGCGACTTACCGCAATTAATAATCTCAATTATTAATTGACACTAATAATTATCAATATCAATAACCCATAATATAATTTTTAAAATCAATAACGATAATAACGATAATAATGATAATTACTATTAAATAGTTATAAAAACGATAAAAATAAATGATTAATATTAATGATTAATGACGCCTGATATTAATAACTGATATTGATCTTATTCATTAGAACACAGTAATATTAGCTCCTAATAATTAATATTAATATTAATAATGGGAAACTTTTATTAGCAATTATTTCTTAATATTGATATTAATATCGGTCATTCATATTCCTGATAATAAAAAATGAGGAATAATTCATACTAATATTACGCCCTAACACCTCAGGGGGTGTACACCCACCTGTGATATTGCTCCTAATCTCCAGGGAGGGAGAGAGCATGATACTACGTTCAATATCGCAGTAGGTGTACACACAGCCGGTGATATTGATCCGAATATAATCTCCAGGGGGTGGAGTATGACGTTACTCCCAATATAGCACTGAGTGTGCATCCACCCGGTGAATTTGCTCCTAATATTCACGGAAGAAGAGAATGCCATTACTCCCAACATCACAGGAAGTGTATACCCCCGTGTGAGATGGTCCTTAAAAATATTCCAAGGCCGAGGAGGTGATATGACTACATGTATGGCAGAAAGTGGACACCCCCAAGGATATCGTTCCCATGATCCTGGAAGGAAGAGGATAATGTTACTTTCAACATCACAGAAGGTGGACACGTCCCCAATGATATTATTTCTAATTGCAGCGTGTGAGAGGAGGACATGACACCCGATATCCCAGGGAGCAGAAACACCCCTGTGATACTGTTCATAATATTCAGGGAGGAAGAGGATGATATGACTCCCAATACAGACGGATGTACAACCTCTGTACACAAAGGGTGTACACAGGTCTGCGAAACGGTTCATAATCTCCAGAGGGGGAGATGATATTACTCACAATATGATAAACAGGCTGTGAGTCCACCGCGGATCCTAAGAGCCAGGGGGGCAAGAGGGGCTGGCTCTTACTCCCCGCATCGCGGGGGGCGCCTCGCCTCCCTGCCATTTGGATCTTAATATATGCGGGGGGAGAGGCGGGTGGTATTACTCCCCGAATCGCGGGGGGCGCCTCGCCCCCCTGCCATTTGGATCTTAATATCTGCGGGGGGAGAGGCGGGTGGTATTACTCCCCGCATCGCGAGGGGCGCCTCGCCCGCCTGCCATTTGGATCGTAATATCCGGGGGTGGAGAGGCGGGTGATATTACTCCCCGCATCACGTGGGGCGCCCTGTTCCCCCTGCGATGTGGCTCGTAATATCCAGGTGGGGAGAGGGGGTGATATTACTCCCTTTGTCCTAGCATGTTTTCTCTACTGCCACACTTGGTCTACACCCTGGGACATTATTTTCCATATTCTAGGAAGGTGTCACTGTTTAAGTCCCAGGGGATATACATCCTGTGATATTATTCGTGCTATTGTAGCGAAATGTGAATCCTGATGTCACAATTCTCTACACGCTCTGATATTATTCGCAATACCCTAGTGGGACGTTAATAATTATGTCACAATGTGTGTACAGGTTGTGTTATGATTCTTAATCTCCTAAGGGGAGGTTGATTTTATTGTCACACGGAATATTTTCCCTGTGGTATGATTCAGAATATCCTGGAGGGATGTCACTCCTTATGTCACAGAGTTTGTACGCCTTTTCAAATTACTCGTATTACCCTTGTGAGATATCACTCCTCATATCACCGAGGGTATACACTCTGTGATATTATCATCATATTCTAGGGAAATGTTGCTTTTAATGTCACAGATGTTGCTCACCTTGTGAAATTTTTCGTTATAGTTTTGTGGGATGTGACTCCTAACGTCACACAGGGTGTACACACAGGGATATTACGTGAATCTTCTATAGAAATGTTACTCGTAAATCACAGGTCCTGTACACCCTTTAATATTCTTCGTCATATTCTAGGAAAACGTGACTACTAATGTGTCAGGGCGTGGAGACCCTGTCATAAAATTCGCAATATCCAAGCGGGAGTTCACTACTAATTTCACAATGCGTGTACACCCTTTGATATTGTTCGTATTATCCTAAAGAGATGTGACTCCTGATGTCCCAATGCATGTACATTCTCTGATATTATTCGTTATATCCTCGGGGGATGTGACTTCTAATGTCACATGGCGTGTACTTCCTGTGTTCTATTTCATAATATCCTAGGGCAATCGTACTGTTAATGACACAGGCGGTGTACACATTCTGAGATTATTCATGATATTCTAGAAGGATGTTACTCCTAATTTCACAGGGGTGTACACCTGTGATAGTATTCATAATTTCCCAGGGGTCTATACTCCTAATGTCACAGAAGATAACACCCTGTGACATTATTCGTAATATTCTGATGAGATGATTCTCCTAATATCACAGGGGGTGTACACCCTCTGATAGTATTCTTATTATTCTAGGGGGATGTCACTCTTAATGTCACAGGTGTGTTCCTTCTGTGATATTATTGAAAATATGCTAGCTGGATACTACTACTAATGTCACAATGCGTGTACACCTTGTGATATTATTAGTACTATTCTGTGCGGATGTTACCCCTAACGTTACAGGGGTGTACACCGTGTGATATTGCTCCCGATATTGTAGGGGGATGTTACTCCTAATGTCACAGGGGGTGTACAGCCATCGATATTATTTGTAATCTTATAGAGAGATATTACTTTAATGATCACAGTGGGTGTAAACACATGGGCTACACCCACTGGGATATTATTTGTAATATCTGAGGGAGATATAACTCCTAATATCACAGTGGGTGTACCCCATGTGTGTACGTCCTGTGATATTATTTGTAATATCCATGGTAAACATTACTTCTAGTATCCCACAGAGGGTACACCCTGTGATATTTTTCATAATATCATAGGGAGATATTGCTTCTAATAACACAGTGGGTGTACACCATGTGTGTACACTCTGTGATGTGATAGCTTATATCCTAGGGAGATATTCCTTCTAATATCACAGTGAGTGTGCACCCTGTGATATCATTCGTAATCTCCTAGAAAGATGTTGCTGCTAATATCACAGAGGGTGTGCCCCCAGTGACATCATTCGAAATATCCTAGGGAGATGTCACTCATAATGTCACAGGGGTTGTACACCCTGTTATATTGTTGTAATATTCTGGGGGGTGTTACTTTTAAAGTCACAGGGGTGTACACTCTGTGATGTTGTTCGTAATATCCTAGGAAGGGGTTACTCCTAATATCACATGGGTTATCCTAGGAAGACGTTACTCCTAATATCACACTCCTAATATCACACCCTGTGATAGCATTCGGAATATCCAAAAGGGATGTTACTTTTAATGTCACATGGGGTGTACACCCTTTGATAATATTCGTAAGATCCTAGGGACATATGACTTCAAATATCACATTGGGTGTACACACATGGTGTACACATTGTGTGTGAACACCTCCTGTGATATTATCCATAATATCCTAGGAAAATGGGACTCCTAATATCACGGTCAGTGTACACCCTGTGATATTATTGGTAATATCCTAAAGGATGTTACCACTAAGGTCACAATGTATGTACGCCCCCTGATGTTATTCGTTATATCCTCGGGGGATGTTACTCCTAATGTCACACGGGGTGTACTCCCTGTGATATTATTCGTAATATCCTAGGGGGATGTTACTTTCAATGTCACCGGGGGTGTATATCATGCGTATTCAACGCCTGTGATCCTATTCCTAATATCCTAGGGGCATGTTCCTCCTAATGTCACATGTGGGGAACACCGTATGTGTACACCTGCTGTGATATTATTCGTAATATCCTAGGGGAATATTACTCCTGATGGCACAGGAGATGTACACCATGTGTGTCAACCGCCTGTGTCATTATTTGTAATATCCTAGGGGGATGTTTCCTTGAATGGCACAAAGTGTGCGCAAAAGGTCATAGAAGGTGTACACCTTGTGATGTTATCTGCAATACCCTAGAAGGATGTTACTCCTAATATGTCACAGGGGTGTACACACTTTGCTATTATTTGTAATCTCATAGAGAGATATGAGTTCAAATGTCACAGTGGATGTTCACACATAGTGTATACCCTGTGATATTATTCGTAATATCCTAGGGAGATGCAACTCCTGATATCACAGTGCGTGTACCTGGTGTGTGTACACCCTTGATACGAGTTGTGATATCCAGGGTAAATATGACTCCTCATATCACACAGTGTGCACACCCTGTGATATTTTTCATAATATTTAAGGGAGATAGTGCTTCTAATATCACCGTGGGTGTACCCCATGTGTGTGTACTCTGTGACAGTATTTTTTATGTCCTAGGGAGGTATTACTCGTAATATCACAGTGGGTCTTCACCCTGTGATATCATTCTTATTTGACCTTGCTGTCTTTGTTAACCCACCCTACAAAAGGAATGGAACAGATAAGAACGTATTGAGATTAGACTGTGCTGCCATGCGGCCGCCGTAGGACACTTTTAATATCCCCGTTTCTCAGGCTGTAGATGAAGGAGTTCAGCATGGGGGTGACCACCGTGTACGTACGTCACTGAGGCCACTGCACCCTTTCTCGGGGAAGATGACACATCTGAACCAAGGTACCCTCCAACGCCTGCTCCATAAAATCAGCAAACAACTGACAGGTGAGACCCACAGGTGGAGAAGGTTTGTACTTCCCACCTGATGATGAAACCCTCAGAATGGAGGAAACAATTTTACAGTAAGAGAAAAGGGTCCCCGAGATGGGAAGAAAACCAAATACGGCAGCAGGGAAATACATGTTGTTGTTCCTGGTGAAGGTGTCACAACATGCAAGATGGGGGAGTTGAGAAGGTTCCCAGAAGAAATTAGGAATTTCCACATCCTTGAAGTAGGTCATTTGTAAGGCAATCAAGTTGTGCAGCTGGGAGTCTAAAAGACTGAGAGAAAAAAAAAAAAAACCAACAACAAAGACAACAAATCTAGGAAGCCACGGACAAACGGGTTCAAGATGGCTGAACGATATAGAAGGTGACAGATGGCTACAAACAGGTCATAGGCCATCACCTCAGGAGCATGTCTCTCTTCCATGCCTCCAAAAATGGCAAAGAGAGACATCTGAGTCAGGCAGCCTGCATAGGAGATGACTCTGCTGTGAGACTGGATGTCCACGCTCATCTTGGGGACCGTGGTGGAGGTGAAACCGATGTCAGGCAAGGACAGGTTGGAGAGGAAGAAGTACATGGGGGTGGGGAGGTGGGAGTCAGGGCTGACGGCCAGGATGATGAGCAGGTTCCCCAGCACCGTGACCAGGCACATGGACAGGAACAGCCCAGCGACGACCGGCTGCAGTTCTGGATCCTCTGAGAGTTCGAGGAGGAGGAATATAGAGACATCTGTTAGACTCTGTGGGTCTGTATCGTTTGGATACGACCCTCTTTTGCCTGGAAAAGAGGGTTGCAAAATCGGAAACAAGTAAACCAATACCCAGCATCGTGTCTGCATTTTGGATATAAGCAATACACAAGTCATGTTTTCCGATTTCCGAGCAATCCACACTCAGCAATATTTTGTAGTTCTGACAAGCTCAATTGCCTTATAATGCTTTCAACATCCATTGCTGTGTTATTCACGTCTTGCTGTACACACCTGCCTTAGAGACACTAGCTTCAAGAACGTTCCAAGAACCAGATCATCATATACAACAAATTCGTAATTGCTAGAAAATACAGCCTATCTTTTCCGAAGAAAAAGATGTAATAAAACCATTGTCTTCACTTTAAGAAAAAGGTTATCCTAATTAAAGGAAATTAAGAACTCAAATATTTTATTTATTCTACTAGATTGATACAAATTCCCTTGATTTAGAACATTTGTAAACACTGTATAACAGCTGAGACCATGCCATCTGGAAATGAAATGAAAGTTGATAGTTCCTAAGCAGAAAATAGTTCCACATGCCAGTTAGGTCCTAGTGATTTCATCATTCTGTTTTCGGACTTTTCTCCTTCGAGAGAGTAATTGCTTACTCAAATCGGTGGGTCTTGTTTTAAAATTCATGGAAGCTCTGACTCCTGTCCTTAGCTTAGGTGGACTTAGGGTTTTCATCAGAACGTTTGGCCGGACGCGGTGGCTCACGCCTGTAATCCCAGCACTTTGGGAGGCCGAGGAGGGCGGATCACGGGGTCAGGAGATCAAGACCATCCTGGCCAACATGGTGAAACCCCGCCTCTACTAAAAATACAAAAACTTTGCCCGGTATGGCGGCGCGCGCCTGTAGTCCCAGCTACTCGGGAGGCTGAGGCAGGAGAATGGCTTGAACCTGGGAGGCAGAGACTACAGTGAGCCGAAATCACACCACTGCACGCCAGCCTGGGCAATGAGAGCAAAACTCCGTCTCAAAAAACAAAAAACAAAAAGCATCAAGTAAGTCAAAGTCACGCTGATGACAGCCAATTTTGGTGAAGCAAGGAAGTGTCAATTCAATCATTAACATACATTTTGACTTTTGCTGTCTCCTAGGTGCCAAGCAAGATATAGGCTCTGGGGAATCAGAAACCAAAGAGACTCACTTGTTCCTCTCACAGTACTCACTACTTACTGAGAGAAGGACACAACAAAATGTCGTGTCTGGAATGCAGGGAAAGCAGAACTTCAGGTCAGGGGATATTTCCGTTGAATTGTGTGGAGTTGAAGCTGAACATCTTAAGGAATGTATCTAAAATTCACTTTGCCTTTACTTTATGCCTCCGTCGCCTAGAGATCACCCAGCGGGCACCCACGATCGGCTTAATCATCACTCACTTCCATCGGATCAACTGGAAATCAAGTCAGATGAGAGTGCTGAGTGTCAGAGGATGGACGTCTCACCCTTGCCATACAGAGAAGTAGAAAGGGTGGTATTCAAAATTCATGGCCAGACTCGAAGTCCCGGGTGCTATACTTCCTGGTCTTCCAACTCTCAAAAAGTTGTGGGTTTTTTGGTTTTTGTTTTTGTTGTTTTGAGATGGAGTCTCGCTCCGTTGCCCAGGCTGGAGTGCAGTGGAGTGATCTCGGCTCACTGCAACCTCTGCATCCCAGGTTCAAGCTATTCTCCTGCCTCAGCCTGCCAAGTAGCTGAGATGACAGGCACCCGCCACTACGCCTGGCTCATTTTTTTCTATTTTGAGTAGAGACGTGGTTTCACCATGTTGGCCAGGCTGGTCTCGAATTCCTGACCTTGTGATTCACCTGCCTCAGCCTCCCAAAGGGTTGGGATTACAGGCATGAGCCACCGCTCCCAGCTTCCAAAAGTTTTAAGCAGAGCTCAGAGGTCTTAACCACAGGCACATAGGAGGAGCATTTTTGAAACGCTTTCCAGCTTCCTCAATAGGAATGGAAGCCAAACTCCGAATTGATGACTCCTTTGAGGAAGTCGAGAGCTGTAAGGAAAGCCAGGAACAGGGGCAAGGGAGAGATGCGTCCCGAATGATGCTGTGCCAATTCTTTCTGGAATCCTCGATGTGATCTCAGCTGTCCTTTCCATACTTGACACAGTGATTGTGGCACCCACTGGTCTAGCTGTGGTCTACAAGGAACCCCCAAAGGGAAGGGCACAGTGAGGAGTGGCATCCGCCTGAGTGACGAGGATTTGAGAGGGCAGGTTGGTTGCAGGGAGAGGACTGGCCAAATGCCATGTGTCTGGACTTAGACTGCCTGGTTCAAATTGGACTTCACCCTTTTTGACTTCATGATCTAGTATGAGTTATCTGAAAAGGTGTTGCTCCTTTTCTAGTCTGTAAAATCATCCTGAAGTGTGCACTAATAACGTGGAGACTATGCAGATGAAATGAAACGAGCTGCATAGAGCACAGAGCTCAGAGCCTGGCCTTTAAGAAGCCCTCAGTAAGGGTTCATGATGCCATGATGTCTGTCGTCATCCTCTTTATCCTCATCATCACCTTCATAATCTTTTTGTTGTTCTTAGGGAATAGTTTAGAGGGACTGATTGCCTGCTATCATGGGTGAGGTGTCTATGAAAAGGACAACCAGTGGGGGAGGAAAGCAAAATTTTGAATAAGATTTCTGAGACCCCCAGCACAACAAAAAACAGCAACTTCACAGTCTGCTGAGCGGACAGTTTGCACATTGGTCTCCTCCCATCTGCCCACCTCACTCTCCTGTTTGTCCTGAGGAGGAGGAAACCAAGCAAGCCTCCCGACTGTCCCTCAGCACTCACTTGAAGGGGTGGCCTGCCCCTCCACACCTGTGGGTATTTCTAGTCGGGTGGGATGAGAGACTGAGGAAAGAAATAAGACACAGAGACAAAGTATGGAGAAAAAACATTGAGCCCAGGGGACCGGCGCTCAGCATACCAAGGATCTGTACCGGCACCGGCCTCTGAGTTCCCTCAGTTTTTATTGATTATTATTTTTATTATTTTAGCAAAAAGGAATGTAGTAGGAGGGCAGGGTGATAATAAGGAGAAGGTCAGCAACGAAGATGTGAGCAATAGAATCTATGTCATCATGAAGTTCACGGGAAGGTTCTATGACTGGACGTGTACATAAGCCAGATTTATGTTTCTCTCCACCCAAACATCTCAGTGGAGTAAAGAATAACAAGGCAGCATTGCTGCCAACATGTCTCACCTCCCACCATAGGTCGGTTTTTCCCCCATCTCAGAATTGAACAAATGTACAATCGGGTTTTATACCAAGACATTCAGTTCCCAGGGGCAGGCCGGAGACAGTGGCCTTCCTCTCTCTCAACTGCAAGAGGCTTTCCTCTTTGACTAATCCACCTCAGCACAGACCCTTTATGGGGGTCGGGCTCAGGGATGGTCAGTTCTTTCTCCTCCCACGAGGCCACTTTTCAGACTATCAAATGGGGAGAAACCTTGGACAATACGCCGCTTTCAAGGGAAGTGGTCCCTGCGGCTTTCCATAGTGTATTGTGCCCCTGGTTTATTGAGACTAGAGAATGGCGATGACTTTTACCAAGTATACTGCTTGGAAACATCTTAACAAGGCACATCCTGCACAGCCCTAGATCCCTTAAACCTTGATTTCATACAACACATGTTTTTGTGAGCTTCAGGTTGGGTCAAAGTGGCTGGGGCAAAGCTACACATTAACACCATCTCAGCAAAGCAATTGTTGAAAGTACAGGTCTTTCTCAAAATGGAGTCTCTTATGTCTTTCCTTTCTACAGAGACACAGTAACAGTCTGAGCACTCTTTCTTTTGCCTACACTCACTGAACTGCCCTTCCCCTCTGCTGAGCCATGACCATGGAGGACAGGTCCACTGTCCTCCCTGCGTGTTGCACGATGGATGCTCAGACTCCATCCTCAAGGCTGGCAAGAAGACAGGGTGAGACATGTGCCTCCTGATACAGGTGACGGCTGTGGAGCCCACAGGACTGGAACCTCACACTGAAGGGCTGGAGGCACAGACTGAGTATTTACTGTTCTGTGGCCTGGGGGGCTCAAGGCACAGAGCTCCTCATTAGCCAAAGTCACCCATGTTCCCCCAACCTCTGAGGATTTCCTCATCATCATGCAAGAAGAAGAAGAGAAAAGTGAGTGTCCATAGAAGCTTTGGGGCTCTTCCTCTAATCAGGAGAAAGCTGGTGTGTATTGTTCCCTTCTTTCTTTGCTTTTTAAAGATCCAACTGCTTTAATTTTCATCTTTTATTATGGGAAAATACACCATGTATAAATATTAAAAATTATAAATATATATTATTTCATATAGAATGGCCAGTATAAACCTTTACAGTTTCCACTCTTTTTCAGTTTACAGTTTAATGACATTAAGTACGTTCACACTGTTTAGCAACCATCACCGTCATCATCTCCAGAACAGTTTTATTTTTCAAAATGGAAATTGCAACCATTCGCCAAGCTCTCCACTCCTCTCTCTCGCCCACCCCTGGGGGCCACCTTTCTAGTTTGTAACTCTAGGAGTCTAACTACTCTAGACACTTGATAGATAAGTGGAATCATACCGTGTTCAATTTTTTTTTTTTTTTTTAGAGTCAGCGTCTTTCTCTGTCACCCAGTTTCGAGTGCAGTGGCATGAACTCGGCTCACTGCAACCTCCACATTGGGGGTTCAAGCTATTCTTATGTCTCAGTCTCCCGAGTAGCTGGGATTACAGGCGTGCGCTATCACACCCAGCTAATTTTTGTATTTTTAATAGAGACGAGCTTTCACCATATTGGCCAGGCTGGTCTCGAACTCCTGAGCTTAAGTGATCCGCCTGCCTCAGCCTCCCAAAATGCTGGGCTTACAGGTGCGAGCCACTGAGCTTTGGCATGTTTATCCTTTTGGGATTTATTTATTTCACTGACGATAATGTCTTCAAGGTTCATCCATGTTGCGGCCTGCGTCAGAAGTGCCTGTTTGTTTTTGTTGTTTTTTTTTTGGTTTGGTTTTATTTTGTTTTGTTTTGCGTTTTCATGTAGTCTCACTCTGTCGCACAGGCTGGAGTGTAGTGGCACAATCTGGGGTCACTGCAACCTCCGCCTCCCGGGTTCGAGCGATTCTTGCGCCTCAGCCTCCTGAGTAGCTGAGATTAGAGGTGCGTGCCACCACACCAGCTAATTTTTGTATTTTCAGTAGAGATGGGGTTTGCCATGTTGGCCAAGCTGGTCTTGAACTCGTGAGCTCAGGTGATCCACCCACCTCAACTTCCCAAAGTGTTAGGATTACAGCCGTGAGCCACTGTGCCCAGCCCAAGGATGTGTTTATTTTCTATAGACTTTTGATGATAATAATTTGACAGCAAATATATTGTGAGTATATATATATGTACATATACATACATATATACATATATACATATATACATATATATACATATATACATATATACATATATATACATATATACATATATATACATATATACATATATACATATATACACATACATATATACATATATACACATACATATACGTATATATACATATATACACATATATACATATATACATATATATACATATATATATAGAGAGAGAGAGAGAGCGTGTGAGAGAGAGAGTGAGAAAGAGAGAGAGTCTCCCTTTTTCACCCAGACTGGAGTGCAGTGGCACAATCATAGCGTGCTGCGGCCTTGAATTTCTGGGCTCAAACAATCCTCTCACCTCAGCCTCCTGAGTAGCCGGGACTACAGACATGTAGTACCATGCCTGGCTAACTTTTTATTATATTTTTTTGAAGAGATGAGGTCTGACTATTTTGCCCGGGCTGGTCTTAAACTCCTGGCTGAAAATGATCCTCCTGCCTTGACCTCCCCAAACGCTGGGACTACAGGTGTGAACCATTGAATCTGGTGTGAAGCTGGGATTGCAGGTGTGAGACGTGGCCTCTGGTGTGAATATCTCCTGGTAAATACCTTGTACTTTCACTTTCATTAAGATGTCTTTCGACCTCGTGAAATTATCTGAAAAACAGGGATGAAACACTGTTCTGCTCCATCTTCCCTGCAGGCACTTGGGCCCCATCCTGCTCTCTTGCCCCCCTCTTCTAGTGAATGGCCAGATAGGAACTATTGCAGGTTTATGGGCCATGTGGTCTCTGTTGCAAATATAACAGCTCTGCTGTTGTAGTGCAAAAGCAACCACAGACCATATGAAACCATCTTTCCTGCATGGCCTCTGTAATCTTTTAGAAATACCCATTGGGTCACACCACTGCCTGACTTAAAATGTATAGATGACCTCTTCCGTCTCCTAAGTAATGGCAGAAATTGACTGGGCATGGTGGCTCACACCTGTAATTCCAGCAGTTTGGGAGACCGAGGCAGGTGGATCACTTGAGGTCAGCAGTTTGAGATCAGCCTGGGCAACATGGTGAAACCCCATCTCTACTAAAATTACAAAAATTAAAATTAGCTGGGGGTGGTGGTGTGCGCCTGTAGTTCCTGCTACTTGGGAGGATGAGGCAGGAAAATGGCTTGAATGTGGGAGGCGGAGGTTGCAGTGATCCAAGATCACACCACTGTACTCCAACCTGGGTGACCGAGACAGGCTCTGATAAAAAAAAAAAAAAAGTAATGGCGGAAATCACAATTACTTTTGCACCAACCTAATAAAAGTCAAGTCCTGACCACAGCCTAGGAAGCCGGCTATGACCTGGCCCTTGTCACCCTCCCCAAGTTCAACTCCCGAGACCTTCCGTTTCCTCTCTGCTCCCCGCTCCGGCCTCCCATTCCTCACTCGTTTTGCATCAGATGCCTGCGCACCCTGGTGTTTCTGCATGTGCTCTTCTGTTAGCCTGGAAAGTTCTTTCCTCCCTCTTCATCCAGCACTACTAGATAACTCCCCCTGCCTTAGCCTAGCCAGGTCCCCTGTCATTTAGTCTCAGAGTATCTTGAATGTCTTCTTCACAGCCCAATTTACAATCCTGACTCACTCGCTGAGTGGGTGCCATCCTTTCTCTCCACCTAGAATGCAAGATCCCTGAGGGCAGGGGCTGGAACCGTCTTCTTCTTTGCCAAATCCCCATTGCCATCTCTGGCACAGAGTGGGCATTATGAAAATATTTGCTGAGTGCATAAAAGGAGGGAATCATGGATTTAAGCCCTCGACTTGGCGCCCTGGGGATGGGGCTCCATAAAATCAGTTCCCATTTTTTCTCTCTCCTCTTCTCCTGGGAGGTGGGTGTCTGGGTTCTCCTGCCAGGAGAGCTTCTCTCTCATAAGACTCCAGGTGTCTCTTGGCCTAGGCCTGCCTCCTGCTAAGTGAGACTCTTTAGGGCTAGTCTGCATCGACTCTGCTGAGATGCAGCTGCCAGAGATGGGCAACATGGGCAAAGCTTGGCAGGTCCCTGGGAACGAGGCTTCTGAGTCATCTGGATCAACTAGTTTGAAGTTACAAACTCACCAGATGTTGGTCAGCTGGAATCTTAATGATGAGCTGGTCCAACCCAACCCCTCTTGTTGTAGTCAAGTCGCTTGTGCAAAGCCACCACTTTGCTGGGACCCCAAGCTCAGGCCAGGGCTCTCTCCATGGTCCCAGGCTTTACACTAAGGGAATGTCAACTCTTCTCTAGAATCACTTGGACTACTTTATACTTTTGTATCTCCTTTTCCTATTCTGTATTCTGGAAAAACAGAGTTTGCCTTGTGATTCAACAGAATCTTCACACTGTGTTATTGCCGGCATTGTTTTAAATTTAGGCTTGGTTCATCCCCAGCTGGAGTGAATGACTTTAATTTGATCAGCTGCTGTATGCACTTGGGAGCTTCTGAAGGGGGTCCTATGGCCTTTAAAGGCTCCTTTCCAGTCTTAGATCCTGACTTGGGGCAAACACACACTCCAGCTCGTTCATGTCCAGATAAGACACCCAGAGGCCATGGCGAGGGTTCCCCCTGTCGGGGCCCTATTGCTGTTGAGAGGATCAAGGCAGCAGTCAGGGCCCGAGGGTTGTCCAGAAGAAAGCACAAACCATACCGAGCGCTGGTCTGACAGCACTTATTGGTGTGACAGGAACCTTCTGTCATGGAACCAGAGATTGGAGACCGTGGGAACACATCCAAATCCACATCTCCGTGACAAGGTGGTGCTGATTTCCAGTGGTCCTCCCTGGTGGGGGAATCACGTAGCTCTGACTCTGGAGCGTGTTGTTGTGTTTCTCTTTCAGTACGAGCTTGTCTGTGGCCCTGCAGTTCCTCCCTTATGAAAGAATGATGCTTCCCAACACAGGATATCCCAGGCTGCAAGCCTGTCGCTTTTGCCCAGCTTCCTTACCCCTGTGCCCCAAAAGCCCACAGCAGGGCCTGCCAGAGGCTGATGACATATCTGTCACTGTCCCAAGGGGGCAGGGGCAGCAACGGAAATATTAGGCCACAAAAGGCATGCCTGCAGACACATATGAGGTAAACACCCAAAGCCAGATGTCAATGAAACAGTAATTCGGTGGAATAGGAGAGGTCATATTCTCCTGCAAGGCTAAATACATAGGTCTCCTTGGGCACAATCTGCCAGGGGACAATGGTTCATGCCGAGCCAGCTATTACACTGCCTTGCTAAGAACTTCCAACACACACACACACACACATACACATGCACATATGCATGCACACACATGCATGCATACACACATGCACCCCCCCCACACATACAAGCACACATACAGATACACACACACGCACAAACATACAGATACACATACATACAGGCACACACACAGATACACACATACACACACAGATACACACATGCACACAAACACACGAAAGCACACACATGCACATACATACGAACACATGCACACACAGATACACATATGCACAGAGATACACATGCATGAACACACATGCAAACACACATGCACACTCATACATGCACACACACATGCACACATGTAGAGATACACATGCATGCACATACAGGCACACACATGCAAACATGCACACGCAGATACGCATGTACACACATGTACACACAAACACATGCACACACATACACATGCTCACACAAAAACACGTGCACACATGCACACACAGATGCACACAGACTCATGCAGACAGATACAGACACACATGCACACACAGATGCACACACATGCACACAGCCACATGCACACACTCACACGTATGCACACACATGCACATACACACATGCTTACAGACGCACATGCACACGTGCACATGCACACACATGCACACACGCACACGCACACGTGCACACGTGCACACACACGCACACACATGGACACACATGCACACATACACACACACCACTCCTTTTCCATTTCTCTAATTTCCAATTTTTTTCTATGAGCTTCCTCAGGCTCATGATCTTGATTCTAGAATGAATTCAGGGAGTAAGTCTGTATTATTGAAATGACACTAAATTCAATCATGCCTAAGAGGCTTTTTCAATGTTGGGGAAACCATCTCACAGATCATTCAAATGACCCCAGGAGACACTTCACCAGGAACACTTGTTCATCTCCCTCTCCCTTCTGCCAACCTCTGTGCTTTAATATCAGGGGACAAACCTCTCGATTTTGGTTTCTCATCTCTTTGTCCCCATGTACACTGGACTGCACTACTGTGTCAAAGCTACTTGCAGCCTGACCTGGGAAATGTACTTTTGGATTCACTCGATTTGCCACCTATTTGGGTGGTTTGGGCTGGAAACTGCCCTGCTCACACTCTTGGCTCCCAGCTGCTCCTGCTTTGGGGGTGCCTAGAGACCCCAGCTCAACCCATGGGTCACATCCCCACAGTGGGGCCGGGGATGCGACTGAGAGTTTTCTGGGCACCTCTCTCCAGCAGCATTGAGGATGGAGCTCAGCACTGTGTGACATTGGCTGGTGGCCACTGCCTGTTTAGGTCGAAATGGCCCAGCCTGATGTCCACATGCACCTCTGCGGCACACTGGCCTGCAGACCCCTGAGCATGCGCTGCATGCTTCTCACCTCTAGAGTGGCCACGCAGACAGGGATACCGACACACCAAGAAAATCCACAGGCAAGCCCAGAGGCCCCCGTTCTACTAGGGCTTTGTGAGCCCCTGTGATTTGAGTCACGAGCTTCTTGTGGTGATTTCATTTAGCTAACATCCAACACAGTGCATTTAGAGACTCTTTCTCTTGGACATTATATGGAGGCGTGGCCATGGTTTGCTGAGATAAATGCCCCAAAACACCCCTCAATAAAACCAAATAACAGCTCATCAACTCTTTACATTAAAAAAAAATTGACATCTTATAAATAGCAAATATTGGATGACAATAAGGCACAGGAAAAAGCTCATAAGCCCAGATCAGCAGTCATCATTCAATTGTTCCTTAACTACTGACTGCGCACCCGTTCTGTACCAGCACCGCATCCTAGATGCAGGGACACCACGCAAAATAAGATGACAAAGCACCTGCCCCTGTGGAGCTGAGCCACTAGCAGGAGAGACAGTCACTAAATGAATATCTCTATCCTGTGGTTTCTGGGAATGACAATCACATAAAAGGATAGAAAGGGATGGAGGAAAGCTAATTTAGACAACTCAGGATCAGAATGGGGAGGTGGTTGCATCCCTCAAAATTCAGAGTAGCTGGAGTGCAAGCCTTGTATTAGCTGAGCCTGAATCCTGGCCCTGCCGTTGTCCATGGTGTCCTCAGGCAAATGGCTCAACTCCTCTGACCACTGGCTTCAAGTGCAGAACAGGGGACCAGAGTCCCATCTCTCAGGGTTGTTGCTGTGGACTGAATTGTGTTCCCCCCAATTCACTCATTAGGAGCTAATTAACGTTAAAGGAGGTCATAAGAGTGGAATCCTAATCTGATAGGATTGATGGTTTTATAAAAAGAAGAGATGTCTCTGTCTCTGTCTCTCCCCCTCACTACTATGTGAGGACAAGCAAGAAGGCTGCTGTCTACAAGGCAGGAAGACAGCCCTTACCAGAAAGGGATTGGTGGATACTTTGATCATGAACTTCTAGCCTCCAGAACAGTGAGAAAACCAATGTCTGTTATTTAGGCCATCCGGTCTCGGGTACTTTATTATGGCAGCTGGGCTGGCTGAGGCAGTTGTTGAGAGGAACTGACAAGGTAGTTGGGGTAAAGCACACAGCATGGCCACAGCTCACTGAGCACAATGTCAGACTCATTCCCCTTCAATTGTTATTCTCTGTCTGGAGGATTTTCATGTTGGCTTTTCTCCAAGAAGCTCCCTGGGGTCTTTGTAAATATGGGGATATTTCTGACAAGAAAAATCCTTACGGTTCTTAACATTGACAATGATCAGGAACAGCAAGTCATGAAAATGAGAAGGTGGCTAGAAAAGAGAGGACCCACAGAAGAAACCAGCAACCACACAACACACACACACAGGAGGAATCCTAACGCAGGAGGAAAATAGAACATCAGGGGACCCCAAGACAGAACTCTGCATCTCATGTATTGAGATTATTCCCTGATATGGTTTGGCTGTGTCCCCACCCAAATCTCATCTGGAATTGTAGCTCCCCTAATCCGCATGTGTCATAGGAGGGACGTGGTGGGAGGTAATTGAATCATTGGGTGGGTCTTTCCCATGCTGTTCTCATGATAGTGAATAAGTCTCACAAGATCTGATGGTTTTATAAAGGGGAGTTCCCCTGCACAAGCTCTCTTGCCTGCTACCAAGTAAGACGTGACTTTGCTCCTCATTCACCTTCCACCGAGATTGTGAGGCCTCCTTAACCATGTGGAACTGTGAGTCTATTAAACCTCTTTCCTTTATAAATTACCCAGCCTCAGGCATGTCTTTATTAGTAGCATGAGAACAGACAAATACATTCCCTAAGCCTCTATTTTCCTCTGAGACAGGCTTACCCCGAATAGCCCTATCTTTGCAGGCCTTGAATAGTAATACTGTTATGTGTTACATTAACATGTATTTTACTGAAAGTCTCTGGTTTTTGTCTCTCTGAACATAGGCAGGCTTTGCTGAAACTTGCAGATGACATTCCAAAATTCATTCTATCTTAAGATAAGCAGAGAGGGGGGTGAGGAAAAATTGTACATACCTTCCCCTCAATGAAGAGGTCCCCGTGGTGTGGCCAGCCTTGGTATAAGGCTTTTGGCTCTGTTAATTCATGAGGGCTGAGTTTGATTGATCCTCATGGGGAAGACTAACAAGGGAATCCTTGGCAACCATTAGGAATAACACTCATGACCCAGAAAGTGGTTCTGTCTTCATGAGGCATCATCTGTCTTGTTTACTAAGTGACCTTCTGGCTCATTTTTCTTCCAGCCAGGGCTGGAATTCAATAATTCTAGTTCCTTCCCAAATTTTAGAGCTGGGAAATGCATTCCTCGGGTTTCTACTTTTCAAAAGCAAACAATATCTGTGGAGCTCAACTCCTAAATAGTGTGACTTTGTCTGTTTATGTGGTTCTCTTGCTGACTGCCTGGTTGCGACTGTGCCTGAACTCAGGCCTCTGTGTTTCTGAATCTTAGAAGCAGTGGTTGGCATGTCAAACTTGAAGTCATTGTCCTTTAGTTCTCTGAGTGTTATAATTGAACAGCACATTTATGAACAAGACTTTAGTAAATCCATCAGCATTCTAGGAAGCTTTGATTCATTAACCTATCTCTAATGTAAGCAAAGGCTGCCAGAGAGTCGCTAACAAGAATTCCATCTTTCTCAGAACCTTCGATTCGCTTGGGTCGAAGTTCATGCCTGTTTCATGAAAAATGCAAAACCAATTAATCACAGCTGTTCATAGTATGCCTATTCTAAGAGACCTCTGCTGTTCCTACCCGAGGGACAGCCAGAATAATTAAAGTCACAGAAATCAAACAAATGGGCCTCTGGCTAAATTATAGAAGATTAACCCAGGAAGAGCACTTATTAAATAGTAAGGAGTCCCCGAAAATATTCAAGTACAAAAAGGATTAGAAATTGTTTTAAGTGTTGGTTCCAACTTCAGGTGCTGGTCTTCCACTCCACTGCGGAAGGGAACAAATGAATTTTCCCATCCTAAAGACAGTGACATTCATCACACCCCTTGGAAGCTTAATAACATCTCGCTTTATTTTAATTGTTTATTTATTTATTTATTTACTTTTGAGATGAAGTTTCACTCTTGTTACCCAGGCTGGAGTGCAATGGCACGATCTCAGCTCACTGCAACCTCTATCTCCTGGGTTCAAGCGATTGTCCTGCCTCAGCCTCCTGAGTAGCTGGGATTACAGGCACATGCCACCATGACCAGCAAATTTTTGTATTTTTATTAGAGATGGGGCTTCCCCACGTTGGCCAGGTTTGTCTCGAACTCCTGACCTCAGGCAATCTGCCTGCCTCGGCCTCCCAAAGTAATGTGATAATGCCTGTTATCATGCTGGGATAACAGGCTTGAGCCACCACCCCCGGCCAATAATATCTCATGTTAAGCATGGAGTTGCTGTCCGCTCTGTGGCCAGAGATAAAACAAGCCTCCATTACAGAGGGAGGTGGTATTGGGCTACTTTTTTGGAAACAACAGCAAAACGTGAGGCAAATTTGCTTTTAGATCCTGGTTACACTCCTGGATGGAGCTTAGCAAGCCTATGATAGGGTAGCCTGGTGGTGGCTTAGGGGAATCCTAGCCATGTCAGACAGGACAGATGCCTTTGAGGAGAGATGGCACAGTGCTGGCTCTCAGGCCCCCACTGCAGGGGGACCAGGCTGTTTATGGATTGGGTGGGAACCCTGTTAGAAAAATAAGTGGAGGCTGGGTGTGGTGGCCTATGCCTGTAATCCCAGCACCTTTGAAGGATGAAGTGGGTGGATTGCTTTAGCCCAGGAGTTCGAGACCAGCCAGGGCAACTTGGCAAAGCCCTGTCTTTAGAAAAATAATAATAATAGTTAATTAATTAGTTGATTTTTTTTTTAAAAAAAGAAAGAGAAGTGGAGCTAAGGAACACAGAGCCTGCCAGAAAGCCAAGGTGGCCAGCTAGAAGGACACAGAAGAACATTACCATAGTTCTCTCTGAGCTTTTGGACTAGGGGTGTTTCATGTGGTTTTCATATCAAACATACTTTACTTTTATACTTAGGGAGGAAAGACATAATACATACAATAAAGGTAACACGAAACAAAACTCTCACCAAAGCCTCACATCTTAGATGCTCTACTGGGTCTCTGCAATTTCTATTAGGGACCCTATGGGTTTGAATTCCATTCTAGATTTGATAAGAAAATCCAAATGCTCAACCCCCTCAACCCCCCCCACCCCTCCACCCCATTTACAAAAGCCAAGTGAAAACTAAGGAGGGGCTGGGTGCAGTGGTTCACACCTGTAATCCCAGCACTTTGGGAGTCTGAGGTGAGGGGAACACCTGAGGTCAGGAGTTCAAGAGCAGCCTGACTAACATGGTAAAATCCCATCTCTACTAAAAGTACAAAAATTAGCAAGGTGTGGTGGTGGACACCTATAATCCCAGCTACCTAGGAGGCTGAGGCAGGAGAATCACTTGAACCCGGAGGCAGAGGTTGCAGTGAGTGGAGATTGTGCCACTGCACTCCAGCCTGGGTGAGAAAAAGCAAAACACCAAAGAAGAAGAAGAAAGAAAGGAAGAAAGAAAGAGAGAGAGAGAGAGGGAGAGAGGGAGGGTGGGAGGGAAAGAAAGAAAGAGAGAGAAAGAGAAAAAGAAAGAAAGAAAGAGAGAGAGAGGGAGAGACGGAGGGAGGGAGGGAAAGAAAGAGAGACAGAAAAAAAGAAAGAGAGACAGAGGGAGAGAAAGAAAGAAAGAAGAAGGAGAAGAAGGAAGGAAGGAAGAAAACAGGGAGAGAGAGAAAGAGAGAGAGAGGGAGGGAGGGAGGGAGGAAGGGAGGGAGGAAGGAAACTAAGGAGGAAGGTGGCGTGTACAGAGGTACGGAGGCCCTCAGGTCCTAGCTGGCCCTGGGTGACAAGGGTGAAACTCCGAAGCAAGAGAAAGGAAGGAAGGAAGGAAGGAAAGAAGGAAGGAAGGAAACTAAGGAGGAAGGTGGCGTGTACAGAGGTACGGAGGTCCTCAGGTGCTAGCCGGTACTGGTGCCTACACAGGATCCAATGGGCTGAGCTTTGCAAAAAGCTCATTGTGTAACCCAGGAAGCCCAAATTTACTTCTGAGCAGATGTCTTTTCAAAGTGATTTTCCTTTTAGGAAGTGAGAGGAGAATGAAGGGGAGGTTTATCCTACTTCTGATGTTAAAAAAGTCAAAACAAAATAAATTGGTGTTCATTGCAACTATTGGCTAAAGCACTATCATCACCAGGACCGGTACCTCAAACACACCTCCTGACAGCCTCTTCCATTCTAATCAATGTGTGCCCAACTGTGGTCACCCAGGGGCTGTTTACCTTTACTTAAAGAGAAATGCTGGTAGTAAGCCATAAAAATTACCATATTCACCATCTTTCTGCTTCAAAGAAGGTTTTAGATTAGGAATGGCTGGATCAATCACTATGAGCATGTTCTTGGGAACTAAAAGCCAAAAAGAAATATTTTAAATACGTGGTATATTTTTAAAATGTGGACTCTTAATAGATTTTTAAATGCAATGTAGATAAGATTTTAAAATCACTTTCCAAATCGGTGCAAGAGTCACTCCCTCTCCCTGTTAGATACACACACATACACACAACCCAATGCTATCCACGTGATCATCAAATCCTCCAGAGACATGGTTTTAGGCCCATTTTGCAATATTTAAAAAATGGAGAATAAAAACAAGATATGATATATCCATCCAGCAGAATTCACCTCAGTAATAAAAAGGAATGAAGGCTCGGCATGATGGCTTACACCTGTAATCCCAGCACTTTGGGAGGTCGAGGTGGACAGATTACTTGAGGTCAGGAGTTCGAGACCAGCCTGGCCAACATATTTGAAACCCCGTCTGTACTAAAAATACAAAGTTAGCTGGGCCTGGTGGCACACGGCTGTAATCCCAGCTACTTGGGAGGCTGAGGCAGGGAGAATTGCTTGAACCCGGGAGGCAGAGGTTGCAGTGAGCGAACATCGCACCACTGCATTCCAGCCTGGGTGACAGCGTGAGACTTCAACTCTAAAAAAAAAAAATGAAGTACTGATATGATACATGCTACAACGTGGATGAACCTCTGAAACATTACATTCAGTTAAAGAAGTCAGCCATGCACACACACACAAAACCATCCATTGCATAATTCCATTTGTATGAAATATTCAGAAAAGGCAAATCTAGAGAGAAAGTAGATGTGTGGTTACCTGGGACCGGGGGGTTAGGAATGGGGCAGTTATGGCAAATGGGCATAAGAGAGCTTCGGGGGATTGTGAAAATGTTTTAAAACTGGAGGGTAGTGATGGTTGCACAACTCTAAATTTACTAAAAATCATTGAATTGTATTCACGTGTAATAGAATTTTAAGCAAAATAAACAACACCTCAATAGAGTGGTTAACTCTGGGCTGGGCATGGTGGCTCATGCCTGTAATCCTGGCACTTTGGGAGTCTGAGGCAGGTGGATCATTTGAGTCAGGAGTTCAAGACCAGCCTGGCCAACATGGTGAAACCCCGTCTCTACTAAAAAATACAAAAATTAGCCGGATGTGCTCACTTGAACCCAGGAAGTGGAGGTTGCAGTGAGCTGAGAGTGTGCCACTGCACTCCAGCCTGGGTGACAGAGCAAGACTCCATCTCAAAAAAAAAAAAAAAAATATATATATATATATATATATATATACACACACACACAGTGGTTAACTCTGAAGATGAGCTTCCCTGGACTTAGTAAAGCAAAATGACTGTGACCAACTCAAAATCCACCATTAAACTCTCCCAGCACCTGCTATTCTGCTTTCTACCCCAAGCTCTTTGCCTCTGTGTTTCCATCGTAAATCTGGAAAGAATTCGAAGACTCTGTGCTAAAGTGATTTGCTAAATATTATCAGAAAGGACTACAGAAAGATGCAGAGAGGATGGCAGCATGACCGACTCCTTTGAAGGTGGTTTAAGACTCTGCTGAACTGATGCTAAGAATAAGCCCTGGGATGTCAGAACCCCCAGGCAAAGCAGCTGGCAGATGACAACACTCGCTGAAACAGAGGGCAGAGCAGGAATTCTGCAGGCCAAGCACACTGCCGCAGGCTGGAAGAAGGGAGTGGAAACTGAATATTCCTCCTGCATAAAATTGCTTATTTTTGTTTGTTCCTCAGCCCAGCTGAGATCTTGGAGAAGTAGCAACAGGAAATGGAAAGAAAGCAAAAACAAACTGCAAATTCAATTGCACTGCTTTTTTAAAAAAGAACAAGTGAGACATCTTCAGCAGCAAGAAAACCTTGTTTCCTTTCTTGGAGGGCTTAACTAAATTCTTCTGGGGATGTCCCAGGATCAACAACCACAGGACATTCCTAGATTGTGAGTTTTCCATGTACAGGAGGCCCTGGTGCCTTCGTGCCCATCAGCAGCAAGGGAGACTTCCCAGGGAGGCCCGGTGAAGTTGCTGGAGGTGGCTGATGATTTCCAGGGCCTCGAGGAATGTCCCTTGGCTGTCCTCAGGGCACACCACTGATCCTGGGACCATGGCAGCTTCGGAGAGCTGAGCTGAGCTGCTGCAAAATGCTTTCTGCTTTAATTACCTCTCATTCATTTCTGAGCCCTGAGAAGGATGCAGTAGCCCGGGAAGTGTCAGCTCTCCCTGCCAGGGGTGGGACTTCTTTGTCATGTCTGCCTCTTGGCTTGTTCTCAAACTGTGGCTTCAGGAGGGCCTTGGCTCTTGGCAAATGCCAGAGGCTTTATAGTTTGAGAAAGAATCAGAATTTTGAAGAGGAGCTCAGAGAGGAAGGTCATTCTAGGGTGCACTTTGCAGAGTAACCAGGCAGTAAAAAGGTTAAATTGGCTGTGTATGACACAGGCCACTGCAGGGAATGTGCCCCTCTACTAAGTGAAATTGGCTCTGATATCCAGAGAATCTTTTAGGACCTTTAAAATCACCATTGTCAACACACTTGTCAGATTTTTGCATCTCCTTGTTTCAAACTGTTTTAGAATGAGGTCGGGGACTGGGGTGTGATTGATCACCATCCTGCTCCACTTCAGATATGTTGGCAAAAACACTAGGAACCACTCTTCATGGAGCTCCTACTGTGTGCAGGACCCTGTTCTCAACAGTTTAAACCAGGGCCATCTTCCTCCTCATCAACACCTTTCCTCTCCCACTCAGCAGCCTCAGTGTGTCAGCCCCTAGTGTGCAGCTAGTGTGCATACGCTAGTGTTCACCCTACAGGATGCTTCTCTTTGGAAGACTTAAACCACCAACCCAAGCTAAATTAGGCCCCCTCCACTGCTATAGTCTTCTTCCCTTTTCTAAAATAGCATTTGTCACAATAGGGCATGATGATGTGTCTGGCTATTTGGTTAATGCTTGCCTTTCTCCCTCCACTGTTCACCCCATGAAAACAGGACCGTGTCTTTTTTTTTTTTTTTTTTTTTTTTTTGAGACAGAGTTTCACCCCTCTCACCCAAGCTGAGTGCAGTGGTGAGATCTCAGCTCACTGCCAACTCCACCTACCAGGTTCAAGTGATTCTCCTTGTCACAGCCTCCCAAGTAGCTGGGATTACAGGCATACGTCACCATGCCCAAATAATTTTGTACTTTTAGTAGAGATGGGGTTTCACCTTGTTAGCCAGGATGGTCTCGATCTCCTGACCTCGTGATCCGCCCGCCTCGGCCTCCCAAAGTGCTGGGATTACAGGCTTGAACCACAACGCCCAGCATTAGTTTAGTTTTTCAGAGACAGGGTTTCACTCTATTACCCAGGCTGGAGTGCAGTGGTGCAATCATAGCTCACTGCAGCCTTGAACTCTTGGGCTCAAACCTAGGCTCAAGGGATCCTCTCGCCTCAGCTTCTCAAGTACCTGGGAATATATGAATGTACACCATGCCCAGCTTACATTTATTTGTTTAAAAGACAAGAAAGAGGCCAGGCACAGTGGCTCACACCCGTAATCCCAGCATTTTGGGAGTGAGGCTGAGGCAGGAGGATTGCCTGAGCCCAGAATTTGGAGACCAGTCTGGGAAACACAGCAAGGCCTCATCTCTAATTTAAAAAAAAAAAAAAAACAAGAAAGATGATATGATACCAAATCAAATCATTTCCTTTACTAGGAAAAGGGCAAAAACAAGGGACGGTGTCAGTTAAGAATCCCTCCTTAGAGAAGCATGAAAAGTCTGCCCCAAATCTGGTAAATCCAGGAACAACTGACTGTCAAGCTGATGGTGCATTCTAGGTTAGGATGTTTTGGACCAGGTTGTACTTTGTTCCCAAAGAATTCAAGGAAAATTTGTTTAATCTGCTTAACATAGTAAAATCTTTCTTTGCAATGTCATACAAAGTTGGCATTACATATGCACTGTTGAAGAAAACGTAATTTTTTTTAAAGAATGTTCTCCAAAACCATTTAATTAGTAAAAATGTTTAATAATGATTTGAATTTTTTTTTTTTTTTGAGACAGAGTCTCGCTCTGTTGCCCAGGCTGGAGTGCCGTGGCCTGACCTCTGCTTACTGCAAGCTCCACCTCCCGGGTTCATGCCATTCTCTTGCCTCAGCCTCTGGAGTAGCTGGGACTACAGGTGCCCACCACAACACCTGGCTAATTTTTTGTATTTTTAGTAGAGACAGGGTTTCACCGTGTGAGCCAGGATGGTCTCAATCTCCTGACCTCGTGATCCACCTGCCTTGGCCTCCCAAAGTGCTGGGATTACAGGCATGAGCCACCACGCCTGGCCCTTTGAGTACATTTTCTAAGAAGTTGGTCATGAGTTCAGACGTCTGCCTCAAAGAGATACTTGTGGTTTCCATTAAAGAACCCACTTTCCCTTTCTACAGGAGTATTTATGGGAGATATGGGCCTGGAGGTTGGAATCTATCCTGGTTGTACTTTGCTATACTGAAGTAAGGAGTAAACCTACAAATACATTCATATTGAAGTGTACAAAGGGGGCTCTACAATAGGTAGGAATTCTATTTAGTTTTGTTGGGTAACAAATCCTTTGAGAAGCAAATAACAGCTCACCTACAAAACTGGTGATCTGTATAAGTTGGGATTTTTCATGGATCAGTTTTGCTTGGATTGAACTATATAATCACAAATATATTTATACCTAGAGAGAGAGAAAGAGTGTCTGTTGAAACTGTATCATCTTAACGTGTCTATAAAAGGCAATACCTGGAAGGTGGTGGATGCCACACAGGTTAAGCTGTCTTCCCTCTGGGAGGCAGGCTTCTGGGAACTACACATTTGGTAATCTTGCCCATAAAATGCCAATTGAACACTTATTGTAGAATGCCGAGGGCACTGTAGATTCAGATAGTCCCCATCACAGGCATAGATGGTGTGTTTTTGCAGGAGTTTGGTTAGGTAACCTAGAAAATATTCAGTCGGGTTACAAAAGGCCCAGGAACCCACCAATCCTCCTTGGGTTTGGGGACAGGAGGATGTTGGTTCCCCTGGGGAAGGACTGTTGAGTTAACAACATGTGGGGTAGGGCCTCCCTAGCAGCTCTGGTGCAGAGGTCACAAAACCAGGCCCAGAGGTGAGACACAGGAGCCAATGTCAGCTTTAATTTTGATATGGAAGGGGGGCAGGGGAGTGCTGGGTAGAGAAGGGTGGGGACCCTCGCGAGGGCTCTGCCCTCGGGCTTGTGCCCTTGGACCTTAGTGAGAACAGGCACTCCTGTTTTCATGTCCAAATGTTGCATTTTCCAAGACTACTCTGGCCTGCTATGACCCCCATCCTGTGCCCATAAAAAACCCAAGACCCTAGTGGGCACAGACAAAAGTGGCTGGACATCAAGAGGAGCAGAGAAGCAGAAGAGGACACCGACAGACATCAGCAGATGCTGGCAGGCTTTTGACAGTGGGGAGATGTGGAATTCAGTTGGGGGTGGTTGGTGGAGAGTCGGGCTGCTAGACTCTAGGGGAAGACCACCTTCCCACTCCATCCCCCTTCTGGCTCCCCATCCATCTGAGAGCCACCTCCTCCACTCAATAAAATCTTGCATTCATTCTCCAAGTCCACGTGTGATCTGATTTTTCAAGTACACTAGGGCAAGAACCTGGGATACAGAAAGCCCTCTGTCTTTGTGATAAGGCAGAGGGCCTAATTGAGCTGATTAACACAAGCCACCTGCAGATGGCAAAACTGAAGGAGACCACTGTAACACATGCCCACTGGGGCTTCGGGAGCTGTAAACACCCAATTCCACAAGCTGCTGTGGGGCCAGAGCCCAGAAACGCTCCCAACGACCTGCCCGTCTGCACGCTCCCTCTAGGGGTTTGAGCAGCAGGATACTGAGAAGTGAGCCATGCCCCAGTAGCATGCCCTGCAAGGGGGATAAGGGTACTCCTCCTGTTTCAATGTATGGGTCAGAAACCTTGGTCTGGGATGGCCTACTGAATGGTTTGGAGGGCTCTTTCCCCTTCAGGAAGCACTAAGGTATTGGCCAGGAACCAAGAAGTCCTGAGCACCTTTATAAACCGGGAAAAAAAAATTGGGGTGAGTATCCCCTGGATGTGTGGATGCCCATCCTGAGGGAGGCTTTCATTTGCTCATCTCCCACTAGTGAGGCCATGCCTTATTGGGATGAGAGGATGCAGTTTCATTTCAAGAAATCACTCTTGGCTCTGTGTTGGTGCTGGAGAGGAAAGACAGGCAGGGTGCCCTGTGCAGAGAGGTGATGGTGGGGCTCTGCTGTGGGTTGAATGGTGTCCTCTCAAATTCATGTTTATCAATGTGGGGAAAAGAAAGAGAGATCAGATTGTTACTGTGTCTGTGTAGAAAGTAGAAATAAGAGACTCCATTTTGTTAGGTACTAAGAAAAATTCTTCTGTCTTGAGATGCTGTTAATCTGTAACCCTACCCCCAACCCTGTGCTCTCTGAGACATGTGCTGTGTCAACTCAGGGTTAAATGGATTAAGGGCTGTGCAGGGTGTGCTTTGTTAAACAAATGCTTGAAGGCAGCATGCTTGTTAAGAGTCATCACCACTCCCTAATCTCAAGTACCCAGAGACACAAAACACTGCTGAAGGCCACAGGGACCTCTGCCTGGGAAAGCCAGGTATTGTCCAAGGTTTCTCCCCATGTGATAGCCTGATATATGGCCTCCTGGGAAGGGAAAGACCTGACTGTCCCCCAGCCCGACACCCCGTAAAGCATCTTTGCTGAGGAGGATTAGTGAAAGAGGAAGGCCTCTTTGCAGTTGAGATAAGAGGAAGGCATCTGTCGCCTGCTTCTCCCTGGGCAATGGAACGTCTTGGTGTCAAGCCCGATTGTATATTCCTTCTACTGAGATAAGGGAAAACCACCTTAGGGCTGGAGGTGGGACATGCTGGCAGCAATACTGCTCTTTAATGGATTAAGATGTTTATGTGTATGCACATCAAAAGCACAGCACTTAATTCTTTACCTTGTTTAAGATGCAGAGAGCTTTGTTGACGTGTTTTCCTACTGACCTTCTCTCCGCTATTACCCTATTGTCCTGCCAAATCCCCCTCTCCGGGAAACGCCTGATAATTGTCAATAAATACTAAGGGAACTCAGAGGCCGGTGGCAGCCTGACCGGCATGGGTCCTCCATATGCTGAACGCCGGTCCCCTGGGCCCTATTTTCTTTCTCTATACCTTGTCTCTGTGTCTCTTTCTTTTCCAGGTCTCTCATTCCACCTAACGAGAAACGCCCACAGGTGTGGAGGGGCAACCCACCCCTTCAATCAGGAACCTCAGAATGTGACATTTGGAAATTGGGAGGTTGCAGATGTAACGAATTAACTTGGCGACATACTGGAGTAAGGTGGGCCCTTCACACCCTATGACTGGTATCCTTATAAGAAGAAAAGAAGAGACTCAGAGGGAAGACAGCTGTGTGCAGCTGGAATGATGCATCTGAAGCCAAGGAATGCCGTGCATTGCCGGCCACCATCCAAAACTAGAAAAAGTCAGGAAGGATTCTTCCCTAGAACCTTCAAAGGCAGTACAGCCCTGCCAACACCTGCATTCAGCCTCTGGCCTCCAGAACTGTGAGAGGATGAATTTCTGTTGTTTTCAGCCACCCAAGCTTAGGAAATGGGTTGCAGCAGACTGGGAATAAGACAGGCAGCCAGTCAGCCTCCGTGGAATTCCCAGGCAGCTTGCAGGAGCCAGAGTGGGCCCTGGGCTCTGAGAAGGTCTGAGGCCCAGCAGGCGCAGGGGCCTAAACTATTTCTCGGCAAGGAGGAAGGAAGGTTCATCCAGAACGTAGATCCCCTTCCTCCTTCTGACACCTCACGAGGTCACAGCGAGGTGGCTGGGAGGAGAGCCAGGAAGTTTTCACTGAGGTGTGTGGGAGACAGCTTGGCAGCCCTTGGTCTCTGAAGGGAGGAGGTGGTGTGAAGGAGGGCAGCTTCAGAACTTCCCAGTTCCTGCCTGATGACCTGTGTGTAAAGTATTCCCGTTTAGGTTTCAACATCCTCTCAGAAATATAATTCTCAGAAAATCCAGGCACCCAATCCAGCTCCCTGGCATTCCCTGAAATCTGAAGTCAAAGGGGCTGAGCCAGCCTGCCCTGGGTGTCAGGTCTCTGAGCCCAAGATAAGCCATCATATCCCCTGTGACCTGCACATACACATCCAGATGGCTGGTTCCTGCCTTAACTGATGACATTCCTCCACAAAAGAAGTGAAAATGGTCTGTTCCTGCCTTAACTGATGACATTCCTCCACAAAAGAAGTGAAAATGGTCTGTTCCTGCCTTAACTGATGACATTGTCTTGTGAAATTCCTTCTCCTGGCTCATTCTGGCTCAAAACCTCCCCCACTGAGTACCTTCTGACCCCCACTCTGCCTGCCAGAGAACAAACCCCCTTTGACTGTAATTTTCCTTTGCCTACCCAAATCCTATAAAATGGCCCCACCCCTATCTCCCTTTGCTGACTCTCTTTCAGACCCAGCCCACCTGCACCCAGGTGAAATAAACAGCCATGTTGCTCACAAAGTCTGTTTGGTGGTCTCTTCACATGGACGCACATGAAATTTGGTGCTGTGACTCGGATGGGGGGCCTCCCTTGGGAGATCAATCCCATGTCCTCCTGTTCTTTGCTCCATGAAAAAGATCCGCCTACAACCTCAGGTCCTCAGACCCAGCAGCCCAAGGAACATCTCACCAATTTTAAATCCGGTAAGCAGCCTCTTCTTACTCTCTTCTCCAACCTCTCCCTGTCCATCAACCACTTTCTCCTTTCCAGTCTTCAATCTCTCCATTCTCTTAATTTCAATTCCTTTCATTTTCTGGTAGAGACAAAGGAGACACGTTTTATCCGTGGACCCAAAACTCTGGCACCGGTCATGGACTGCGAAGGCAGATTTCCCTTGGTGTTTAATCATTACAGGGATGCCTCTCTGATTATTCAACCACGTTTCAAAGGTGTCAGACCACCCAGGGACGCCTGCCTTGGTCCTTCACCCTTAGTGGCAAGTCCCGCTTTTCTGAGGGAGGGACAAGTACCCCAACCCCTTCTCTCCATGTCTCTACCCCTTCTCTGCTTTTCTGGGGGAGGGGCAAATACCCCTCAACCCCTTCTCCTTCACCCTTAGTGGCAAGTCCTGCTTTTCTGGGGGAGGTGCAAGCACCCCAACCCCTTCTCTCCATGTCTCTACCCCTTCTCCACCTTTCAGGGGGGCAAGAAACCCCCAACCCCTTCTCCTTCACCCTTAGTGGCAAGTCCCACTTTTCTGGGGGAGGTACAAGTACCCCAACCTCGTATCTCTGCACCCCAATCCCTTATTTCTGCACACTGGCCCCTTTTCTCTGTGCCCCAATCCCTTATTTCCACACCCTGACCTCTTATATCTCTGCACCCCAATCCCTTATTTCCATGCCTGGACCTCGTATCTCTGTGCCCCGACCCCTTTCCCACTTTTCTGTAGGGTAAGAACCCCTGAACCCCTTCCCTCCGTGTCTCTACTCTCTCTTTTCTCTGGGCTTGCTTCCTACACTATGGGCAACCTTCCACCCTCCATTCCTCCTTCTTCTCCCTTAGCCTGTATTTTTAAGAACTTAAAACCTCTTCAACTCTCACCTGACCTAAAATCTAAGCATCTTATTTTCTTCTGCAATGCTGCTTGACCCCAATACAAACTCAACAGTAGTTCCAAATAGCCAGAAAACGGCACTTTCAATTTTTCCATCCTGTAAGATCTAAATAATTATTGCCGTAAAATAAGCAAACTGTCTGAGGTGCCTGACTTCCAGACATTCTTTTACACATCAGTCCCTTCCTAGTCTCTGTGCCCAAAGCAACTCGTCCCAAATCTTCCTCCTTTCCCTCCCGCCTGTCCCCTCAGTCCCAAACCCAAGCATTGCTGAGTCTTTCTAATCTTCCTTTTCTACAGACCCATCTGACCTCTCCCCTCCTCCCCAGGCTGCTCCTCGCCAGGCCAAGCTAAGTCCCAATTCTTCTTCCGCCTCCACTCCTCCACTCTATAATCCTTTTTTCACCTCCCCTCCTCACCCCGGGTCCGGCTTACAGTTTCATTTCATGACTAGCCCTCCCCAAGCTGCCCAGCAATTTGCTCTTAAACAGGTGCCTGGAGCTAAAGACATAGTCAAGGATAATGCTCCTTTTTCTTTATCCCAAATCAGATAGCATTTAGCCTCTTTTTCATCAAATATAAAAATCCAGCCCAGTTCATGGCTTGTTCAGCAGCAACCCTGAGACGCTTTGCAGCCCTAGACCCTAAAAAGTCAAAAGGCTGTCTTATTCTAAATATACATTTTATTTCCCAATCTACTCCCGACATTAAATAAAACTCCAAAAATTAAATTCTGGTCCTCAAACCCCACAACAGGATTTAATTAACCTCACCTTCAAGATGTACAATAATAGAAAAAAGTTGTAATTCCTTACCTCCACTCTGAGACAAATCCCAGCCACATCTCCAGCACACGAGAACTTCCAAACGCCTGAACCGCAGTGGCCAGGTGTTCCTCCAGAACATCTTCCCCCAGGAGCTTGCTACAAGTGTCAGAAATCTGGCCACCAGGCCAAGGAATGCCTGCAGCCCAGGATTCCTCCTAAGCCACGTCCCATCTGTGCGGAACCCCACTGGAAATCGGACTGTTCAACTCACCTGGCAGCTGCTCCCAGAGCCCCTGGAACTCTGGCCCAAGCTTCTCTGACTGACCCCTTCTCAGCTTAGTGGCTGAAGACTGACGCTGCCTAATTGCCTCGGAAGCCCCATAGACCATCATGGATGCCGAGCTTTAGGTAACTCTCACAGTGGAAGATAAGTCCGTCCCCTTCTTAAGCAATATGGAGGCTACCCACTCCACACTACTTTCTTTTCAAGGGCCTGTTTCCCTTGCCTCCATAACTGTTGTGGGTATTGACGGCCAGGCTTCTAAACCTCTTAAAACTCCCCAACTCTAGTGCCAACTTAGACAATACTCTTTTAAACACTCCTTTTTAGTTATCCCCACATGCCCAGTTCCCTTATTTGGCCAAGACACTTTAACTAAATTATCTGCTTCCCTGACTATTCCTGGGTACAGCCACACCTCATTGCCACGTTTTCCCCCAGTTCAAAGCCTCCTTCACATCCTCCTCTTGTATTACCCCACCTTAACCCACAAGTATAGGATACCTCTACTCCCTCCTTGGCGACCGATCATGCACCTCTTACCATCCCACTAAAACCTAATCACCCTTACCCCACTCAATGCCAATATCCCATCCCGCAGCATGCTTTAAAAAGGTTAAAGCCTGTTATCACTCGCCTGCTACAGCATGGCCTTTTAAAGCCTATAAACTCTCCCTACAATTCCCCCATTTTACCTGTTCTAAAACCAGACAAGCCTTACAAGTTAGTTCAGGATCTGCGCCCTATCAACCAAATTGTTTTGCCTATCCACCCCATGGTGCCAAACCCATATACTCTCCTATCCTCAATACCTCCCTCTACTACCCATTATTCTGTTCTGGATCTCAAACATGCTTTCTTTACTATTCCTTTGCACCCGTCATCCCAGCCTCTCTTCGCTTTCACTTGGACTGACCCTGACACCCATCAGGCTCAGCAAATTACCTGGGCTGTACTGCCACAAGCCTTCACAGACAGCCCCCATTACTTCAGTCAAGCCCAAATTTCATCCTCATCTGTTACCTATCTCAGCATAATTCTCATAAAAACACACGTGCTCTCCCTGCTGATCGTGTCTGATTAATCTCCCAAACCTCAATCCCTTACAAAAGAACAACTCCTTTCCTTCCTAGGCATGCTTAGTGCGGTCAGAATTCTTACACAAGAGCCAGGACTGCACCCTGTAGCCTTTCTGTCCAAACAACTTGACCTTACTGTTTTAGGCTGGCCATCATGTCTCTGTGCAGTGGCTGCTGCCACCCTAATACTTTTAGAGGCCCTAAAAATCACAAACTATGCTCAACTCACTCTCCACATTTCTCATAACTTCCAAAATCTATTTTCTTCCTCATACCTGATGCATATACTTTCTGGTGGCCCGGCTCCTTCAGCTGTACTCACTCTTTGTTAAGTCCCACAATTACCATCATTCCTGGCCCGGACTTCAGTCTAGCCTCCCACATTATTCCTGATACCACACCTGACCCCCATGACTGCATCTCTCTGATCCACCTGATGTTCACCCCATTTCCCCACATTTCCTTCTTTCCTGTTCCTCACCCTGATCACGCTTGATTTATTGATGGCAGTTCCACCAGGCCTAATCGCCACACACCAGGAAATGCAGGATAAGCTATAGTACAAGCCACTAGCCCACCTCTTAGAACCTCTCATTTCCTTTCCATCATGGAAATCTGTCCTCAAGGAAATAACTTCTCAGTGTTCCATCAGCTATTCTACTACTCCTCAGGGATTATTCAGGCCCCCTCCTTTCCCTACACATCAAGCTCAGGGATTTGCCCCCACCCAGGACTGGTAAATTAGCTTTACTCAACATGTTCCGAGTCAGATAACTAAAATACCTCTTGGTCTAGGCAGACACTTTCACTGGATAGGTACAGGCCTTTCCTACAGGGTCTGAGAAGGCCATCACAGTCATTTCTTCCCTTCTGTCAGACATAATTCCTCAGTTTAGCCTTCCCACCTCTATACAGTCTGATAACAGACCAGCTTTTATTAGTCAAATCAGCCAAGCAGTTTTTCAGGCTCTTAGTATTCAGTGAAACCTTTATATCCCTTACGGTCCTCCGTCTTCAGGAAAAGTAGAACGGACTAAAGGTCTTTTAAAAACACACCTCACCAAGCTCAGTCAGCAACTTAAAAAGGACTGGACAATACTTTTACCACTTTCCCTTCTCAGAAGTCAGACCTGTCCTCAGAATGTTACAAAATACAGCCCATTGGAGCTCCTGTATAGATGCTCCTTTTTATTAGGCCCCAGTCTCATTCCAGACACCAGACCAACTTAGACTGTGCCCCAGAAAAACTTGTCATCCCTACTATCTTCTGTCTAGTCATACTCCTATTCACTGTTCTCAACTACTCATACATGCCCTGCTCTTGTTTACACTGCCGGTTTACACTGTTTCTCCAAGCTATCACAACTGATATCTCCTGGTGCTATCCCCAAACTGCCACCCTTAACTCTTGAACTAAATAAATAATCTTTGCTGACAGGACTATGCTGAATCTCCTTAGGCACTCTCTAATCAGATGTCCTAGGTCCTCCCAATTCTTAGACCTTTTATACCTGTTTGTCTCCTTCTCTTATTCCATTTAGTTTTTCAATTCATACAAAACTGTATCCAGGCCATCACCAATAATTCTAAATGACAAATGTTCCTTCTAACAACCCCACAATATCACCCCTCACCACAAAATCTGCCTTCAGCTGAATCTCCCCCACTCTAGGTTCCCACGCCGCCCCTAATCCCGCTCGAAGCAGCCCTGAGAAACATCGTCCATTATCTCTCCATACCATCTCCAAAAATGTTCGCTGTCCCAACACTTTACCACTATTTCCTTTTATTTTTCTTATTAATATAAGAGGACAGGAATGTCAGGCCTCTGAGCCCAAGCTAAGCCATCATATCCCCTGTGACCTGCACGTACACATCCAGATGGCCGGTTCCTGCCTTAACTGAGGCATTCCACCACAAAACAAGTGAAATTGGTCTGTTTCTGCCTTAACTGATGACATTGTCTTGTGAAATTCCTTCTCCTGGCTCATCCTGGCTCAAAACCTCCCCCACTGAGTACCTTGTGACCCCACACTGCCCACCAGAGAACAACCCCCTTTTGACTGTAATTTTCCTTTACCTTCCCAAATCCTATAAAACGGCCCCACCCCTATCTCCCTTTCCTGACTCTCTTTTCAGACTCAGCCCGCCTGCACCCCGGTGAAATAAACAGCCATGTTGCTCACACAAAGCCTGTTTGGTGGTCTCTTCACGCGGACGCGCATGAAACTGGGGTCCTCATGCCCACCAGTCCAGAGTGCTCTCTAGAGGAAGGCTACAGACACTTCCTGGCTCGCTCATCCAGACGTTAGCTGTCTTGCTGAAATGCCTTTTTTCACCCTTGAAAACCACTGGAAGAATGGCCAAGAACCCAGCTATCCTGAGTAAGTTCACTTAGAGAAGCAAAATCTAACATGAGTCGCAAAATGGACACTGGCACCAGGAGTGTGGGTCAGAATCCTGCCCCTTGGAACTACATCATCGCTTGTACAGTGTACCCCCCAGGCACCAAGAGACCAGGCCGAGACCCTTCAGTGGCCCTGGGCCTCTGGTCAGTGTCTTCCTGCCTGGCACACAGGCAGGCCCTCATAAAGCAATGAGTAGTGAAAGTTCCAGCCTTCTTGATGGGTTCTCAGCACCCCGTCGTGAGCCACACCCTGCCCCAGGGAAATCAGGATCACCCTGATGCTACCCCTAGGCCAGTGCCCCTTCTGAAGTGCCCCAGGCTGGCACCTCTATACTTAGATCTCTTCAGCCTCCTCATGAAAACCTTGTCCATCACCCCAGCAGTCCTGACACTGTGCTAGATGAGCAGCTGACCACACGTCAAATCAATTTTCAGAGTTTGCCTTTGGTTTAATATTGACGGCTCATCCAAAAGACCTTGTCACTATAGCTAGATGAAAAAAATGACAAGGCTCTGGAGAAGCAGAGCCACAACATGGAAGATACCTGGGTCCCAGGTTCAGGAGGAGAGGAGCTGCCTGCTCCAGACTGTCACATGAGTGGGAATGAATCTTTTTCTACGTGTAGACCATTACCTTTCTTCACTCTGTCACATAGTCTATCCCCGCTAAACAGAAATTGACCTCCACCAGACCGTTTACATCAAGACCTGTATGTGCAGTGCAGTGGCCTGAGCCTCCAATCCATGCCCCACCTAGCCAACCGGCCTTGCCATATTCTTACTCTGAGAGTGGTATTCTGGGGACAGAAGCTCAGTGCATAGAATTGACTAATGCCAGATCCTTCAGGCGCTTTGCACTTTGAAGTCTATCTGTCCTAGCACATTCCAAGTACAAAGAAGACACTTCAGCAGTACAACCTGGCCTACACCCAGTTCAATTCCTTCTTCAAAAACCTAGGCCCGGCCAGGTGTTGTGGCTCACATCTGTAATCCCAAAACTTTAGGAGGCTGAGGCGGATGTATCACCTGAGGTCAGGAGTTCGAGACCAGCCTGGCCAACATGGTGAAATTCCATCTCTACTAAAAATGCAAAAAATTAGCCGGGTGTGGTGGCACGCCCCTGTAATTCCAGCTACGCTGGAGGCTGAGGTGGGGGAATTGCTTGAACCCTGGAGGTGGAGGCTGCAGTGAGATGAGATTGTGCCACTGCACTCCAGCTGGGGAAACAGAGCAAAACCCCATCTTAAAAAACAACAACAACAACAACAAAGAAACCTAGGCCCACATCCAGACAATGGAATGTTATTTAGCACTAAAATGAAATGAGCTATCTAACCACAAAAAGGCATGGAGAAACCTTAAATGCATATTCCTAAGTGAACGAAGCCCATCTGAAAAGGCCGCACACTCTATGATTTCAACTATGACATTCTGGATAAAGCAAAACTATGGAGACAGTGAAAATATCCATGGTTGCCAGAGGTCAGCAGAAAGGAGGAATGAATTGGTGAAAGACAGAGGATTTTTAGGGCAGTGAAACTACTCTGCGTGATACTACAATGGTGGATCCACGTCATTGTCCATATGTCCAAACCCACGCAATGTACAACACCAAGAGTGAGCCCTCATGTAAACTATGGACTCTGGGTGATAGTGATGTGTCAATGTAGGTTTATTGATTATGACAAATATCCCACTCAGGTTTGATATTGCTAGTGGGGAAGCTGCGCATGTGTGTGTGTGTGGCAGGTGGGAGTAGAGGTTGATGAAAACTCTGTACTTTCTGCTCCATTTTTCTTTCTTTCTTTTCTTTTCTCTTTCTTTCCTTTTCCCTTCCTTCCTTTCTTCCTTCTTCCTTCCTTCTTTCCTTCCTTCCTTCCTTCCCTCCCTCCTTCCCTCCTTTCTTTCTTTCTCTCTCTCCTTTGTGTTTTTCTTTCTTTTTCACCCAGGCTGGAATACAGTGGTAAGATCTCAGCCCACTGCATCCTCCACCTCCCAGGTTCAAGCAATTCTCTTGCCTCAGCCTCCCAAGTAGCTAGGATTACAGGCATGCACCACCACGCCTGGCTAATTTTTTGTATTTTTAGTAGAGACGGGGTTTCATCATGTTGGTCAGGCTGGTCTCGAACTCCTGACCTCGTGATCTGCCCGCCTCGGCCTCTCAAAGTGCTGGGATTACACGTGTGAGCCACAGCAGCTGGCCTCTGCTCCATTTCTCTATGAACCTAGAACTTCTCTAACACATTAAGTCTATTTAAAAGGAAAAAAAAATCCCTATACCCAGGATAGCATTACCTTTGGGAGGAGAGGAGCTAGCGTAAGGGAGAGGAGAACGAGGAGCTCAGGCGAGATGGCCATGCCCTGTTCCTTGATCTGCATGGTGTGCATGTGTTTTACTTTGTGAAAGCTCACCCAGTTATCCACTTTGGATATGTAAACAAAAATGTTTAAGAAAACTTCACCTGCAGTTATCTGACCTACACTTTTAAACAATAAAGAAAGCCTAGGCACACAGAGCCTTGGGTAACTCATGGAGCAAGGGGGTGCGGAATGCCTTCTGTAGCCAGCCTCAGTCCCACGAGGATGGGCTGCTGGGTGACAGCAGGACAGGCTCATGAGGACCAGCCATCGCCCAAATGCTCTGGTCCTCCAGGCTGCCTGCCCATGTCTCAAGCTGTTTGGTCTACAGTGCCAAAAGGTCAAGAAGAAGGACAGTTAGAACAACCCCATGGTTTCAGCAACATGGAGGCCCTCAAGAACCATTTTGAAACCATATGGAATGGGGTGTGGGACAGAAGCATGTTTGGAAAAGGTTGAAAAGTGAGTGGAGGGGCCAGGTGTTGTGGCTCACACTTGTAATCCCAGCACTTTGGAAGGCTGAGGCAGGCAGATCACCTGAGATCGAGAGTTCAAGACCAGCCTGACTAACATGGAAAACCCCCGTCTCTGCTAAAAATACAAAATTAGCCGGGCGTGGTGGCAGGTGCTTGTAATCCCAGTTACTCAGGAGGCTGAAGCAGCTGAATGACTTGAATCTGGGAGGCAGGGTTTGCAGTGAGCTGAGACTGCGCCATTGCATGGCAGCCTGGGCAACAAGAGATAATCTCCACCTCAAAAAAAAAAAAAAAAAAAAAAGAAGAAGAAGAAAAAGAAAAAAGAAAAGTGAGTGGGAGGTAAGAAAGTCAAAGATGGTCCATGTAGTAGGCAGAATAACTGCCCCCAAAGATGTCCACAGGCCTTAATCCCCAGGCAGTGATTATGTTACCAGACATTCATGGTAAAAGGGACTTGGCAGATGTGATTAAGTTCAGGATTTTGAGTAGGGGAGATTATCCTGGATTATCTGGTAGGGGTTTATATAATCACAAGGGTGCTTAAAAGGAAGAAGGTGGCTGAGTGCAGTGGCTCACACCTATAATCCCAGCACTTTGGGAGGCTGAGGTGGGTGGATCACCTGATGTCAGAAGTTCGAGACCAGCCTGGCCAACATGGTGAAATCCCATCTCTACTAAAAATATGAAAATTAGCCAGGCATGGTGGTGCATGCCTGTAATCCCAGCTACTTGGGAGGCTGAGGCAGGAGAATCACTTGAACCCAGGAGGTGGAGGTTGCAGTGAACCGAGATTGCACCATTGCACTCCAGCCTGGGCAACAAGAGAAAAACTCCATCTCAAAAAAAAAGGAGGAAGGCAAGAGAGTCAGAGTCAGACAGTCAGAAAAAGGAGTTGTGACAACAGAACCAGCAGTTGGAACGATGAAGCCATGAGTCCAAGAATGTAGGCAGTCTTTAGAAACGGGAAAAGGCAAGGAAAAAGATTTTGCCTTGAAACCTCCAAAAGGAATGCAGCCATGCAGAAATCTTCATTGCAAACATCTGACTACTAGAACTGTAAGAGAATAAATGTGTGCTGTTTTAAGCCACTGAGTTTGTGGCAACTTGTTACAGAAGCAATAGGAATACTAGTACAGTTTGTATAGATGACTGTGGCAACAGTGTGGTGAAGATGAGAGAAACAGAGCTGTGCCAGGCGCAGTGGCTCACGCCTGTAATCCCA